>NC_000003.12:169311634-169463149 GCF_000001405.40 Homo sapiens
TCAAGTCAAAAGCCTTAAAGAAAAAAAGTGTTTCTTTTACATTTTACTCTTTTTTTTTTGTACTTTTGTTTTTCAAAAATTACCTTTCTCTAAATTTTTAAAATGGGAACTGGACAAGGATGGAGAGCAATATCCTCTTAGAAATACTTTACTAAAAGACAAGCTCATGACCTTCTTCATGAATTCTGCAGGTGGCCAGAAATGAGGAGGAAAAAGCCTGTGATTCAAAAAAAAGTTGATACCGTGGTTTAAGATGCAATGTTCACATTTTAAAAAATAATAACCCAAAGGCCTAGATGTAGGGACTATTTGGAGTGTTTGAGAAGCAAGGTGGCCACTGTGGTGATTACACAGGAGTAGGTGGTAGGAGATGAGGTCAGAGAGGAGCTGGGCCCAGACCACGCGGGGCTTTGTGAGCACGGTAGGAACTTTGCATTTGACTCTGAGTTGGGACGCCACTAGAGAGTCTGGAACTAACTTATGTTTTTAATCAGTCACCTTGGTTGCAATGTGGAGAACAGATTATGGCACAACAAAGGGTGAAGCAAGGAGACCAACCAAGTATAGTATACACTGCCTTCATTTGGCAAGAGATGATGGTGATGTTGACCAGGGTAGTGCGATTGACAAGAAGCAGATGACAACTATATTTTTAATAAATAAATTGATGTGATTTGATGATTAATTTGATGTAGATGTGACAGAATGAGAAGAGGCAAGAATGACTGCAATTTTTTTTTTTTTTTTTTTTTGAGTTGGAGCCTCACTCTGTCGCCCAGGCTGGAGTGCAGTGGCGCGATCTCGGCTCACTGCAAGCTCCGCCTCCAGGGTTCACGCCATTCTCCTGCCTCAGCCTCCCGAGTAGCTGGGACCACAGGTGCCCGCCACCATGCCCGGCTAATTTTTTGTATTTTTAATAGAGACGGGGTTTCACCGTGTTAGACAGGATTAGCCAGGATGGTCTCGATCTCCTGACCTCGTGATCCGCCCGCCTCGGCCTCCCAAAGTGCCGGGATTACAGGCGTGAGCCGCCGTGCCTGGCCAACTCCAATTTTTTTTTACCTGAGCACCTAATAGAATAAGGAGGACACTAGGAGGAGCAGGTCTGGGGAGAGAGGAAAAACCAAAAGTTCAGTTCTTGACATGTTAATATTGAGATGCCTGTTAGTCATCCATGTGGGGATGTCAGCTGGTAGTTGGATCTCCAAACGTGGAATTAAAGGGAGAGATCTGGGATAGAGATATAAATTTAGGAGTCATCCAAGTAGGGCTGGCATTTGAAACTGCGACATTGGAAAGAAACACTGCCCTGGAGAATGAGCATGAAGAGAGATGTGAAAAGATCTAAGTACTGAGCATCTGGGTGCTCCAATACTTAAAGGGTGAAAAGAGGACAAGTAACCACAAAAGCAAGTTGAGACAACCAGTGAAATAAGAAGAGAATCAAAAGTAAATGGTTTGCAAGAACTCAAGCAACTAGAGTTTTTCAAAAAAGAAAGAAAGAAAGAAATGAATAACTGAGTCAAAGTGTAAAAGTAAATAGTATAGAATGAGGCCTGAGGATTGGCCATTGGATTTGGCAACATGACAGTAACTGATGGCCCTAAAAAGAGAATCTCTTTGATGATGTGAGATGAGGTTGGGAAAAAAAGAGAAAGTGTAAATTGCAGTGTTTTGCTCTAAAGAGGAGGAGAAAAATAATGCAATAGCTGGAGTGGTAAGTAGGGTCTAGTGAGATTTGTTTTTGAGGATGGAAGATAGCACAGTGTGTTCATACACTAATGGAAATATCTAGCGGGAGAGAAAATCAGATGATACTACAGAGAGAGGGCAGAATAGCTGAAGGATGTCTGCAGGAGGTGAGAGAGAATGGGATCCCATGTACATGGAAGGAAATTCACCTTACACTAGAGCAAGGACACCAAGGACAGAGTGACAGAAGGAAAGGCAGAATAAGAGGGGACAGATACAGGAGGCTTGGTTGATTTGGTGATGTGGCATGTAGATATTTTCATCTTAGTCTAGCTCCTCAGTGAAATAACAGATATGGTTATTATCAGCTGACAGTGAAGAGGGGAAAAGGTATAGAGGTTAAGGTAAATAGAAGAAGGTATAAAATGGTTCTTTAAGAGAGGTGCAGAGGAAGAGTAGGTGGAGAATCAGATCAAACTAGAGCTTGGGAATGGCCAGTTGAGAAGTAAGAGAGGTAAGGATATAAGCAAAGAGTATTCACAAGTGATGGACTATGGCTAACTAGTTAAGACAACTGAACCGGGACAACTGACAGGACCAAACACTGATCAAGAAACAGACTTCCATTTTATCAAGTCACAGAACTTTTGGAATCTATATGCTACCACATCCTAACCTAACAACAAATTCAGAATGTAAGGTTCCTTATGGACCCAGTCCCATCTTATTTCTGACTTCTCATACTGTATGATCTGCTGTACACAATTAGCTACACTTTGCTAGAACATCCAGAGCTTCCTCCTTCCTTGTCTTCTTCACAAGGTCAGCTCCATTCAGCCATTTCTCTTCTTTGGCCATTAATTCCACAATTACTTCACTGACCACTTCCTACGATGGATCAAGAATGAATTGACCATATGGCATAGTAACTGTCTTCCTCCAAAATTGCTGCACAATGCCTGGCACATACTTAGCACTTCTTTATAGATGAACAAATAAATGAACTCAAACATCAGTCATCCATGATCATTTATCTCTAAAGATGGAATGAGTTAAGAGGAAAGGGGATTTATAGCACGTGCATAGTTCACAGTCTCTGCTTAGTCCATGTTCTGCTCCAATGTAACACCATCAATGTCACCTGCTAACTAAAATTAGTGTTTAATTAGTTAAAATAACTTTCCAATTTTTACACTGATTTTCATTGTCTTAGTAATTCTCACAACTACCTTTTGATAGAAAAGTATGAGAAGAAGAAATAAGAAGAGAATGAAGAGAGGACAATAAAAGATGCCCAAGAATGAAAGTGGGAAAGAGAAGAAAAGGGAAAAGAAAGAAGAGAATAAAACAGAGACAGAAGGGGAACTAGGGAAGAGTAAATGGGGAGAAAAAAAAGCAAGCATTGGCCGCAGAAACTGATAGAGAGGAAAAGGCAAAAAGAAGAATATAGGAAAGGGATATTAATTTTAGGGCAACGATATTCTTACTTAAAAAGTGCTAAGGGAAGTTTAGAAATTTCTATGAGGAAGCTGGAGGATTCTGGAATATTTATAGTTATCCCTTATTCTCCTGAATATTTATGAATATTTATGAAGATCAACAACAGGCACATTTGTTAAGTAACTACTATGTGGAAAACACTGTGCAGGGCCCTGTGTAGTTCCCATGCCTTCAATTCCTCTTAACAGCTACTATTATCCTCACTTTACAGATGGGGAAATTGAGGCCCTGAGTAACTTTCCAAGACACAGAGTGAGTGAGATTGTTGATCCTCAGACCCAGTGCCACCCACGCTGCTTTTGCAATCCAGATATGCCTGCAGAATAGGGTGGGTTCTGAGCCAGCTGACAGGGCTTTCCCACATCTCCCATCCTCCCAGGCCAAGTCCAGAGGGCAACTGAGAAGGGCGGCAGGGGAGCCACCAAAATCAGCCCTGTAGTCCTTGACCCTAGGAACCTAAATGTGAAACAGATGGGACCCAGACACTCATCCAAGTCTCACACTGTCCTGTTTGGCTCTTTTCACACTTCATTCGGATATATCTGTTTATTCTTTGTAAAATACAGTTGTGCTCATGAGTTGAGAATCAAAGTACACAGACCGAGACCTTTTCTAGAGATGTTTGGCCTCCTTCTTTAGCAGCAAAGAGGATGGGAAAGAGACAAATTCAACCATCTTACTGGTGACTGGAAGAAAAGTTATTAAAAAGTTAACAGCTTTGTGTCTTTGCATGTTAGGTCTTTGGACAGCATTTTCTGGGAGTGTATGTAACAAGAATAATAAATTCATGGCCATATACTACCACAGTTCCCTCCAGCCTCAATAGTAATCAGTACCATGGGATCTCAACACATTGTCACTGAACCCAAAGAGCGCCAGATTAAAACCAGTTTGCAATTCCTGTATTCCTTTGTAATAACAAAGGAATCAAATATCATCTAGCGATGGCATATATCTATTCCATGAATGTTACCAGTTAACCAAAATTATACAACATTGGTGTAATGTCACCAATGTAATGACATAGATATATTTCATTGCTAGATGCTATATAAAGGCATAGCCCCATAACATAAAAAAAATTGCCTAACACAGGTAAAGTCAAATATGAGCCTAAATATTTAACAATAAAGTTATTTGTTCTTTGGTCAATAATTATTTTACCAACATATTCAACAAGAGCCTGTGCTTTCTTAATTAAAATTAGAGTTTTAGAAACTAATTAAAAAACAATAGATTTAAATTGATGAATACTAATGCTTCTGTAATTCACAATAATGTTTAAGGCCAGGACAGAAAATAGAAAACCATTTGACAGGGCCTGGGCTAAAAGCCATGGATGGCATCCACTGTTTAGTGTTGTATAATTTACAAACTTCTGTTCTTTCGACAACTCAAAGAATGAAGTTGCCAAATAAACACACAGCTCAGAAACAACGCAGAAGAATTAAAACACCCTCTCACATCTTGTTAAAAGGTGGTGGCCTTAAATAAAAGAACAGTATCTATAAACTGCTTGCCAAAAATACCCAGATACTAAACAGTTTCATTATAAAACTATTTTAAATTTCTCAGGATGCATTTGAGGGTGAGGCAGTCATATCAACAAAGTTTGATGATTTTATATTGTGTCTATGGCTATGTAAAATGAGATAAGGGGCACAAATGTCCCACAGAGAGGAGATCTCATATGCATTCACATATGTCAAACATTTGTCACTTTAAGAAAATATACTTTTTTTAAGACAGGGTCTCATTCTGTCACCCAGACTGGAGTGCAGTAGCATGATCATGGCTCATGGCAGCCTCGACCTCCCCAGGCTCAGATGATCCTCCCACCTCAGCCTCCCAAGTAGTTGGGAATTATAGGCATGTGCCACCACATCTCACTAATTTTTGTATTTTTTGTGGAGACAGAGCTTTGCCATGCTGCCCAGGCTGGTCTTGAACTCCTAAGCTCAAGTGATCTGCGTGCCTTGGCCTCCCAAATTGCAGGGATTATAGGCATGAGCCACTGCGCCCGGCCAAAAGACATATACTTTTAATCAAGTTTCATTACTGTGTGTCATTAGTTAAAAGAAAAATCCTGCCCATTATTCCTCATTTACATCTGTCTATCTTAGAATTCTCATTATATTGGCAATCACAATACTTGGTAAATTAGATCAAAAAGGGCATGATTCCAGAGATAAGAAATGGACTTAACTATTTCCCAGCGTGAGGGACCTTACAAAGAGTTTATTCAACAGTTTTCTTCACTTATTACGGTCCTCAGAGCAATTAAGTCCAGGGATAAGGGTTTCAGTGGTATCAGCAATATTACTGGCTTAGAGTTGTTATACGAGTTGTATTTGTTTTATAGAAACTCCTTGCCAATTCTTACATTAAAGTTAAACAAATCACTGAAATGATAACACTCAAAACGAATTGAATGATACTAAAAAGTTTCAAAACTCTGAGTTTTCAGAAAGGTTAAATAGCTTTAAAAATGTGGCTGGAGGTTTTTTTCTTTAATATGACAATCATTATATGATACTCAAGTTATGGTTAATATCCTTGAAAAAAAAATCCTTTTGTCAACTGGTGGTCTGTGGCTTGAGACTTCACTGAAAGGTTTCACTTGAAAAGGCTATGAAAACATCAGCCACTGATCCAGAAGTTCTCAACAGCTCAGAGATGTAAGGTCATTCATAATTGTCTCCATCCTTCTTTCCTCTCTCCAGAGTATAATTACTTCAAGAAACGAAATCCTGGTTTATTTTACTGAAATCCAGAAACTCACTACTTACATAGCAACAGCTACTTCCCTTATCTCTGGTTTAAATATCCACAACTGTCACCACTCCTAGGACAGTGACTAATGCTTAGTGGGTCTAATTTTTAGAACCTACACAATTTAAAAATATGAGCTACCATTGACTTTCTTCACAGAATTAGAAGAAAATGCTTTAAATGTCATGTGGAAGCAAAAAAGAGCCCGTATAGCCAAGACAATCCTAAGCAAAAAGAACAAAGCTGGAGGCATCATGCTACCTGGCTTCAAACTATACTACAAGGCTACAGTAACCAAAACAGCATGGTACTGGTACCAAAACAGATATGTAGACCAATGGAACAGAACAGGGGCCTCAGAAATAACGCCACACAGCTACAACCATCTGATCTTTGACAAACCTGACAAAAACAAGCAATAGGGAAGGATTCCCTATTTAATAAATGGTGCTGGGAAAACTGGCAAGCCACATGTAGAAAACAAACTGGACTCCTTCCTTACACCTTACACAAAGATTAACTCAAGATGGATTAAAGACTTAAATGTAAGACCTAAAACCATAAAAACCCTAGAAGAAAGCCTAGGCAATACCATTCAGGACACAGGGATGGGCAAAGACTTCATGACTAAAACACCAAAAGCAATGGCCACAAAAGCCGAAATACATAAATAGGATCTAATTAAACTAAAGAGCTTCTGCACAGCAAAAGAAACTACCATCAGAGTGAACAGGCAACCTACAGAATGGGAGAAAATTTTTGCAAACTATCCATCTGACAAAGGGCTAATATCCAGAATCTACAAGGAACTTAAATTTACAAGAAAAAAACAAACAACCCCATCAAAAAGTGGGTGAAGGATATGAACAGACACTTCTCAAAAGAAGACATTTATGTGACCAACAAATATATTAAAAGAAGCTCAACATCACTGGTCATTAGGGAAATGTAAATCAAAACCACAATGAGATACCATCTCATGCCAGTTAGAATGGCGATCATTAAGAAGTCAGGAAACGACAGATGCTGGAGAGGATGTGGATAAATAGGAATGCTTTTACACTGTTGATGGCAGTGTAAATTAGTTCAACCATTGTGGAAGACAGTATGGCGATTCCTCCAGGATCTAAAACCAGAAATACCATTTGACCCAGCAATCCCATTACTGGGTATATACCCAAAGGATTATAAATCATTCTACTATAAAGACACATGCAGGGCTGGGCACAATGGCTCATGTCTGTAATCCCAGCACTTTGAGAGGCCTAGGCAGGTGGATCACCTGAGGTCAGGAGTTCGAGACCAGCCTGGCCAACATGGTGAAACCTCGTCGCTATTAAAAATACAAAAATTAGCTGGGCATGGTGGTGGGTGCCTGTAATCCCAGCTACTCGGGAGGTGAGGCAGGAGAATCCCTTGAACCTAGGAGGCAGAGGTTGCAGTGAGCCAAGATCGCACCACTGCCCTCCAGCCTGGGTGACAGAGTGAGACTCTGTCTAAAAAAAAAAAAAAAAGACACATGCACATGTATGTTTATTGCAGCACTATTCACAATAGCAAACACTTGGAAACAACCCAAATGCCCATCAGTGATCGACTGGATAAAGAAAATGTGGTACATATACACCATGCAATACTATGCAGCCATAAAAAGGATGAGTTCATGTCCTTTGCGGGGACATGGATGAAACTGGAAACCATTATTCTCAGCAAACTAACACAGGAACAGAAAACCAAACACTGCATGTTCTCACTCGTAAGAGGGAGTTGAACAATGAGAACACATGGACATGGGGAAGGGAACACCACACACTGGGGCCTGTCAGGGGGTGGGGGGTAGGGGAGGGATAACATTAGGAGAAATACCTAATATAGATGACGGGTTGATGGGTGCAGCAAACCACCATGGCATGTGTAAACCTGCACATTCTGCACATGTATCCTAGAACTTAAAGTATAATAAAAAAAAAATCAGCACACCACTCTTTAGTGTCTATAATGAATTGGTCATATGGAAACAGATGTTAACGGTTGGGAAGAAGAGAGAATTGTGTAATGGAAAAATAACAGAGTTTATTTTGGAAATGAGAGTCTTAGCTCCATCATCAGTAGCTGTGAGAAAGTGGGAAAGTTATCAATCTCTCTTCTGCCCTATGTGTAAAGTGGGGAAATGATACCTACTTCAGAGGGTTGTTGTGTGAACTAAATGAGATAAGGTATAACATGACTGTGGACACATGGGTGATAGAACCTCAACCAGTTAACTGTCTTGGTTAACAAGATGAGAGTCAAGAAATATTTCAAATGTATAGCATCTTATTAGAGGTGGAGAAGGAGCTTGTAAATCACCTAACCAGACCCCTTCACATGTTCAAAGGATTTAACAAGAGGTCGTACGGTGACTTTGCCCAGAGCAATTTCAGAAGAGTAGTAGAGATAAGACGATTGTCTAGAGAAATAATAGTAGATAAAGAAATGGAGAAATGGATGTAGACAATCCTTTTAAGACGTGTGACGATGAAGGGAAGGAGAGAAAAATAAGGGATTGGATGCGGATTTTAGAATGTATGTGCCTGTTAGGTCTTTTTAGGATGGGAGAATTTGAGCTTTTGGATGGTTAAAGGTTAAGGTCAGATATAATTAGGAGAAACATATGTCATCCAAACCAGATGTTTTTGAGGGTAAAAGAGGATGCTACTTATGCTGACACAATAGGAATAAACTGGGACTGTCTGAGGCCAGCCAGAAAGTCTGGTGATCCTAAGGATACAAAGTGATGTTGAAGACATACAGAGAGAAAGAAAAATTGATGACGTAAGGTCCCTGAGGAGGAAGGATAAAGAGGGATCTGAGTAGAGGTATAGTTGGTCAGGAGGAAACGGTAATTAAAGACTAACCCTTTCCCAGGTTCTAGTCACAGATCTAAAGCCAATGACCCCCCTGTTTTCAGAGAGCTTACAATTTAGTGCACTGATTATCATGGTATAAGAGGAAAGAAGGAAGGGAATGGGATGGTCCACCAGTGGAAGAACCCATAATATTTTCAAGAAAACGTCCTAGAATTTCAATAGGGGACAAGTGTATTTTGAAAAGCATAGTCAATATTGTAATTCAGTGAAATGAAACTGTATTTTCTTTCTTTTTTATTGGCCACATCTTTATTTTGACATTTTGAGCAACACTGTAGAGAACTGTTATATTGTGTTTTTGTTTTTGCTTCATTATTACAGGAAGACATAAGCTAAGAAATTCTGATGGAGTGATAGGAAAAAGCTGCCCTTTTGTGAGCATATATTACTTTCTAGGTTCTGTGCTAGAATATATTTTATAAATGAACTGCCAGTAACTGGATGAGAAATCTGAGGCTCAGAGGGGCTAATAACTTACCAGAAAATAACCCAGGGTCTCCATGAGGGGATTTGGCAATGGGTCTGTGCTTCAAAGCTGGTGTGCTTCCTGTTGGTAAGTACAGCCATGCCAGGATAGGAAGGCCACCACTCTAATATAATTCCATGAACATTCATATCTAAGACACTGGAAGGATGTACAGTCTATGCTCAAGAAGTAAAACTTATTGGACAAAAAATATAAACTACTACATTAAAAGTAAATTGTGAAATGCTAAATGGATAGGAAAAGTGCTGTTAGAATACAAAGAGTGGGCCGGGTGAGGTGGCTCACTCCTGTAATCCCAGCACTTTGGGAGGCCAAGGCAGGTGGATCACGAGGTCCGGAGATTGAGACCATCCTGGCTAACACAGTGAAACCCAGTCTCTACTATAAATCCCAAAATTAGCTGGGCATGGTGGCACGCGCCTTTACTCACAGCTACTTGGGAGGCTGAGGCAGGAGAATCACTTGAGCCCGGGAAGGTGGAGGTTGCAGTGAGCTGAGATTGCAACACTGCACTCCAGCCTGGGTGACAGAGCGAGACTCCGTCTCAAAAAAAAAAAAGAGTTTAAATCTGGTTTAACTGGTTCAATCTGATCAGAAAATGTATCTCAGAAAAGAAGGTAGCTAAACAAAGCCTTGAAGAGTTGGGCAGTGACTCTTCAGGGAGATGGAATGTGGACCTATGTGGTTTTGTGGAGGGAGGGTGGGACAAGCGTGGTCAGGGAGGACTTGCTTAACACTTAAGGGAGGAGGTCAAACATGAACAGCAGTACAGATACAAGGTTCAATTAGTTTTACCAAAACATGAGACATGGCACTAGAAAAGACAGTGGAAGAGACATTTTTGGAAAGGAAAGAGGAAAGACACTACTCATGGTTGCTGTCCTAATTAAATATCAAACTAATGAAACTGGATTTCTTTCTGAAGAACACAGGGAGCCACCGAAGTGATTTTTTTTCCAGTTTCTGAGGCTGTCCTTCCAGAGCTGGGATTATTAAAGGACACACAGTTTCTCCATGTATCTCCAGCTTTGCTTACATAATCTTACAAAATAATATTGGTTTCTTCACATGTGGCACCCCTTGTCAACACCATCATTTATTTCTGAACTATAAGAAGTTACTTGAATTTCTGGTGGTGTGATATGACACTTGGATTTAGCATGAAAATTAACTGAATCTCGTGTGTGTTTCCTCTTAGGTGGTACTGAGAGTATTTCTAACCCCACGATGTTATCTAGACCCAAATATTTTTCTTCTTTATTTTCTTTATTTGAGATGTGATGGAACCTGCCAATAGAGGTATAAAGATAACACCTATTTGGCCAGATTGGGAATTAGGTGCAAGGGCTAACACCCAATTTTATTTTATTCATTCACAAAGAGGCTCTAGGGCTTTGTCTTTTGTATACCGCTTTATTCTCCATACTCATTGACCTCCTTGGCAGCTCACTAGTCTCTCAATAGGCTATAGGTGTAAAGAACTCCTTCATTAAAAATCACATGAAAACTTTTTTCCCAAGCCTGACCAAGACTTATCAGGATGGAACCAACTGAACAACTTAATAAAGTTTCCTCTTTGAGGAGTGAAGGACTATACAGTTAATTCTTCCTGGAGTGTTCACCACTGTAAAAAGAAAAAAAAAATTATAAAGACAGCAAATGCCAATGAGTACCTACTAAAGGTAAATGATACCAATTCATCCACTGAGAAGCTCATAAAAGGCCGGCCACAGTGGCTCATGCCTGTAATCCCAGAACTTTGGGAGGCCGAGTCAGGCATATCACCTGAGGTCAGGAGTTCAAGACCAGCCTGGCCAACATGGCAAAACCCCATCTCTAATAAAAATACAAAAATTAGCCAGCCATGTTGGCATACACCTGTAATCCCAGCTACGTGGGAGGCTGAGGCAGGAGAATCACTTGAACCCGGGGGGGGCAGAGTTTGCAGTGAGCTGAGATTGCACCACTACACTCCAGCCTGCATGACAGAGCAAGACTCCGGTAAAAAAAAAAAAAAAAAAAAAAAAAAAAAGCAGCAGCAACAGCTCATACAATGATGAAACACATTTTAGGAAAAAAAGAAATGGTTTTCCAGGGAAAACATGTAATATCCTGGGACCAATCTGTTAGACCTTAGACATGCAGAGTCATCATATGCACTCACACATATGCTTCACAACTGTTACTGAAACCAGGAGAGTTATCCTCCCTAGGATCTACCTTGACCCAGAAGGAACCAGCTTGAGGAGGTCAGAAACCAGTGCTGAGTAAAGGGCCATCACTTCTTTACCCCTCCTTCCCCCAGTATTGGGTGTGTGTTTCCCTTCTAGAGGCTTTATTTGGGAGTTCCATGTGGTAGTAAAATATGAAGTCATTAGAAATTCATCAGTGAATGATGGATTTCCTTTGGTTGCACAGCCACTGGGTCTGTCTTCCTGTTCCATGGAAGCACGTAGGCATTTGGACGGCCTATGAATTAGAGAAGAGAGAGGCAGACAGACAGGCAGGCCAGGGAATGCTTATCTAAAAGCAACAGTATGTCAAGATCTCAATATTGAACCCAGAAACTAATTTATGGCAAGCCTAATGTTTTTCAGTAAAAGAACATGTAACAGTTTACCAAATGTGACCACAGTCTTTCTGCCCAGGAGGCCACCAAAGGACCTGAATGTTGCCTCTACAGCCCTTCCCTCAAACAATGCATCCTTGTTCCACAGCCTCCCAGCTGTGACAGCCATGATAAAAATGGAGATTGTTTTTATACTCTATGTGCTGTTTGTACACTGACAGCAGCATGGTTATTCGCCAAATAATCAGAGTATGTTGGCATTTTTATAAATAAAGTGCTTGGGTTTGACAGTAATCTGTGCAAGGAAGACTTGGAGGATGGACAAAAATGTCTTCTTTCCCATGCAGAGGAAAAAAGCCTCCTTGGCTATTTTTCAGCACACTAACATCTCTTCTGACTAAAAGGCAGCCAGGAGCATAGCTATGACATCAGCCCAGCCGAAGCCCAGCTCTCTCCAAAAGGACACAGGGAAGTATTTCTTTCCTCCATGGCTTGCAGGAATGTGTTCCTGGGGCTTCCTGAGTTATACAAGAAGGATTTTATTTCACCAGAGTAGGGGCATGGGGGTGGAGAGGAAAGAGTGAGGAACTAACATTCAGCGAACTCCTATAGTGCTCTGTGCTCACACAGGTTGCTTTGTTTCATCCTCACGATAACCCTGGGAGGTGGGTATTATTGTCCCCAGTTTACTGATGAGGAAACCAAGCACACTCTCGTGTAGTGACCAAGGTGTGTTCACAGAAACCAACGCCTAGAAGTTGTCAGAAGTATAGGGATAGTCAGAGTATGAGAACGGGAGATACACACTTCTCCTTTAAGAAAATCATCTTCATGGCTGGAGGATTTCAAACACACATGCTCTGCTGCATACTTTCACATCTGTCTTGTCAAAAACATTTTTTACAGGTCTTGAAATATTTTTATAGACAATATCTTTCAAAAGTTCATTTAGGAAACTCTCTGGGTAGAGGGAAGATTTAATTATTATTTGACAAAGGAACAAACTGACCTTCTGAGAATTTCGGCAACGTGCCAAAGTCCCAGCTAATGACTAGAAGAAAGGGACTCGGTGCAGATCCTCGGATTCTCCCTCCTCTGGTTCACTGTCTTCCGTGTCACCTTATTCTGTCTCATTACTGAGCATAACAGAAACTTAGAACCAACTTTCCTCCTACAAGTGCAGGAAGAGACTGAGGACAGTGGGCTGGGGCTAATGCCGTTAACGCAGTTTGCCAGGAAGAACTTGTTCTGACAGCTAGAAGATTCAACTCTGGGTACTTTTTACTGAGGGTATTTCCACAGCCTCTTCCCTACCACCCCCCTCCCTTCTCTGCCAACTCCCTCATCTCAGCAAAATCAAATCACACCTGGTACAGATTGAAGTTACCTTGCAAACTGTGGGTCCTACAGTAACAGCTCTTCACACTACTCACAGCTCATATTTTCCAGGCAGCAGAGTACTAAATCTAGGATGATCAAAACCAGATCTTGAAGTCTAACCTACCATGGGTTTGAGAACCCCCTTATGAATAGTGAAAAGTTTTCACTGAGCTTTGGGCCCAGAGGTGCACAGAAGCACCCCGAGGTGGACACTGCGGAGCACACCATTCACAGAACAGGAGCACAGCTACGGGTCCGCTTGTTTTTGCTTTCGGACAGTCACTGGAATATCTTTCTAGCAACCAACCACTGGAAACTGGATGAGGTGGGCTTTGGCTGGTGGGTTACTATTCTGCTAGCCAAATTCCCGATGAATGTTTGCAAGTGTTTCTATCTGTAAGAGGATTCAGAAATACTGAATAAAGGCCATGACATAACAACTGAAAAGTATCTACCTCTCACCACCACTTTTTAAGGTGCATTAAATAGTTCAAGTTGTCCCCTTCATAAAGGGTAAATTTAGCTTAGGATAAATGTGTCTGAAGGGTATGTGAAGCCCCAAGACATTCTACTTTAAAGCATCTTAACACCAACAAACTTTGATTCTTAACTTAGACACTGTTGAAGAAGATGGAAAATTGAGTTCAATACTAACTTGGTGTTTGATCCTTTAAGAACACTGAATGCACTGTATCAACTAACATATACAATCTTCTGACGTCTGAATGGCCTTTATTTCCTTTCTAGAAGTTGGCCAACAAAGTCTGCTGCTCCTTTCAGCTCCCCTTTAATAAAGGAAGTTAAATAACTTTGAATGTTATTTATGATTGGGTCGGGGGTGATAGTTGCCAGATGTGAGATACTTCATGTAAACTATTAAAAGATAAAGATCCATGAAGTTGCGTTGATTTCTACGAAGAAGAAATACAAACCAAAGGGTCAAAACAAACATTTCAGCTTCCATAATGTGTAGCACTAAATTCAACAACCCTGTGTGCCTGCCACTGGGCTAGGCACTAGACATAGCAATATGAAAAAGATGAGCCATAAAAGGCTTAGAAGCCAGCCTAGGGCAGAGATAACATGGCACAATAAGGGCCACACCAATGGTGTGTGTCAACAGGGCTGTGGAACACAGAGAAAGAGGAGGGATTATTCTGTTTAGAAAAAAAGCTCAAGGAAGCCTCTCGGTGGAGGCAACAGTTGAACTAGGCTTTGGAGATAACTAGGATCTTGTTAAGGATCCAGGGGACAGAGAGAGAGGAGAGCCTTCTAGGCAGAAAACAACACAGGCAAAACATTAGAAGAGAAAAGATGGATGCACTCTGGATATTCTATTCAAAGAAACGAAAAATTATGCCACCTGAACCCTTACAGTATGTTATTTGGAAAAGTCTATTAATTTCACATGTAAAAACATTTTCCTTGTGTACAAGTAAATACTGTAATTGAAGTGACAGATTAGACATGTAGAATTTATTATCTGAAAGAAAACCTAATCAATAGGTATTTCATTTCAAAAAGTTAATGAAATATTATAGAGAGAGTGGCCTTTTAAGCTTTGATTTTTGGATTCAGAGAAAGAACTTAATTTTCAGTGACAAGGTCAGTACTAGTTGAATGGTCTCCTTTTGCTTCCCACAGAAATGACCGTTCTTTCATTCTTGAATTATTTATTAAAATCAGGCTTCAATAATCGGAGTCTATTTAAACATTTTTTTGTAGATCAGCAAGTTAAAAATCATGTTGCCTTTGCTATTTTTACCACCTTCAAACGGACAGTAAAGTACTTGTGTGAAATTAAATATTAATTTCATGAATATGTTTGGGTGTGTAACAAAATTCTCTCTTTTCAGTTCGTGTTAATTAATATTCAATGCAATAAGTACACATATGTTTAATACTATTATCATCAAGGAAGGGCAGAGGGTTCAAGTCATTGTAAAGGACAATGTGGGTATATTTTATCTCCTTCTAATTAGCAAAATTAGATGAGCTTCTGGAAGATTATTTGAAAGCAAAGGTTTGCCAAGCCTACTTTCAATAAACAGCTTTATGCTCCCAATAGCCTAGGACTCAACTCTTAGATGACAAAAATAAATCTTTTGGTACATCCATCATGGTTAAAGTAAGCCAATTCCAAGGTCAACTATAGGGTCAGATGCAAAAGGCTTGCCAAATAGCCACATATGCAAAATCATAGACATCAGCTCATCTGAAACAAATGCTCTACCTTGCAAAACAAAAATTATTTAGTTGTTTGCATTTATGGTCATGTATATTACCATGAATTTATGGTAATGTACATATGGTAGTATAGGTTGATTTGGGAACATAATGAAAATTATGTATCTTTTAGCCAAATGGATGATATTTTCTTACAGAAGTTAAAAAATAAAAATTAAAAATTAGCTGGCTGGGCACGGTGGCTCACGCCTGTAATCCCAACACTTTGGGAGGCCAAGGTGGGCAGATCACAAGGTGAGGAGTTCGAGACCAGCCTGGCCAACATAGAGAAACCCCGTCTGTACTAAAAATACAAAAATTAGCCGGGTATGGTGGCACATGCCTGTAGTCTCAGTCACTCGGGAGGCTGAGGCGGGAGAATTGCTTGAAGCCAGGAGGCAGAGGTTGCAGTGAGCCAAGACCACACCATTGCACTCCAGCAATGGTGACGCAGAGTGAGACTGTGTCTCAAAAAAAAAAAAAAAAAAGAAAAAAAAGCATAAAAACATTGACCTGTCTTTTTGCCAAGATCTAGGTCAGAGAGTAAACTGCATATATCTTTGGCAATGTATATAATTCGATAGACATTACATACACACTCTATCATTACTGAGGCAGTTCCTCTTTCAAAAGGATGTCTTTGTTAAATAAATGTGTCCTCATAACTGCCTTTGAGAAGGAGACATATGCTGATCCTATAACACTCCACACCTTCTTTGAAGCCCTTAAATACTTCACTTCAAAAGCATGTCCTATTTTAATTATATCATACTGGTACATGAGAGATAAGGTGATTTCTCTACTTCCTGAATCAAAAGGAACAGCAGGATTAGACAGAAACAGCACATCGACTATCATTTTAGCTGTCTCAAGATTACAACATTTGAGCATTTTGTTTCCATGCTACACCCTCCTTTCAGTGTCTATGAGGAAGTTTCTGCACTTTGTTTGACCCGACTGAACTTTGTCACACTGGCTTCTCACCACCCCTGATGAAGCAAGCCACTAAATCTTACCAACTATCTCTTTGTTGTCTCTTGTATGTTCCCAGCCCCTCCTTCCAATCTTACCAAGCCAGTTAAGTTGCACTTTTCACCTTCTCCGTTGACATAAAATGAAGTAACTGCATTTATTTGGATATTGACTGCACATTTTGTCAACATCTCAGATTTTATAAGTCAACTAGATCGTGTTTCAAGGCAAAGTCCTAAAATTTCATAGCTCATCTCTATTTGCTTGCTCAGTGCAAAGTAACGAAATGAAAAACCCAGAACTCCAGAGAAAGTTTGTTTAGTCTTGTCATCATATAACTGAACTAAATTATTCTGCACCATGTGAGTGTTTTAAAACATTCTATTATGGAAAAGGAAGCTATTAGTTTGTTAAAATATACTTAAATTTGATAGGCATTTAACCAATGTCTATGAATGTATAGTGTGCAGGAACAAAAATTATTGGATCACTGAATGCAATATGAATTAAATGTTGTAGAAAAAGCTGATGCAGCTTTTTCTACTAGTGTCTAGTAGCTTTTTTTCAGTAATGTCCACCTACTAAATGAAAATGTTAGGACTACAGGGCCTCGCTCCCAACTTCAGTTGTATGGGAAAACAAGGTCAACCTCCTGTTCGCTTATAAGATAGAGAATTGTTGTACTTGACACCTGGAGACATGATTGTCAGAGCTTCTAAAATATTTCATGGAATACATTATCTAACCATGTTAATATAAAACACGAGACTTGAGGCTATTTACATCTGAGTACCTGACTTTAGAAGAAGATCCTTTACTGTTCAAAATACTGTACGGAACCTACTGGTAGATATTGTTAGCTCCTTACCTAGTATCCTGAGTTTTACACAGAATCCTCTCTGGTGATGCTACCCATTCCGAAGTAAAGAAATGTTATTTAACATCAATATAGAAACATACTGATGAATATGCACATAGATTATCTTTGAAAACAAACACATTTCTCTTTTTTAGCCTTGGGAAACATTAACTTTTTTTAAAATTAGAGATTCATCTTATTACACTTGATTTGTGAAAAAAAATTAATTACAATGCTACATTCTAATGATTCAAAAAATAATTGAAGTCAGTCTATCAGGTGGCCCAGAAATTATGCTATAAGCTTTAAGCTATATTCAATTGCTGAGTTAGATCAAGATTAGAATTTTCCTATAATGCTTCTATTTCGGAAGCTGTTTTGTCCATTAACCAAAGAAGAAGTCTCAAAATGCTTGGGACATTGTTACCTTCAAAACTATGTGGGGAGTGTGGGCAAGCAAGTGCCTGTTTGTCTGTGTGCAAAAGTGAACCATTGAGCATCCTTTTCTAAGGCACTAAGACGTGCCCTTAATTCTTAATTCTGGAGAGCTGTTGGAATCCCACTGAATGAAGCCATCTAACTCGCTCTGTCCAGTTTATATTGCCTCCTGAGCCAGTTCTTGTTCATAGTAAAGTTGAATTTTATAACCTACCCTGCCCCAGTATTTCCTTATATAAATGGGTGACAAAGAGGAGTTCCATTGCAATATTTTTAAGAGAAAATTATTTTAGATTTGAATTCTGCAAAAATTCTGGATACAGGGGAAACTGTTAAAGCGCTGCTGCCCACTCATCCCATGAGCATTTTAAATTATGTACAATATGCCAATGAGCATTTAAAGCTGACTAAGAAAGTGTGTCGACCTATAAGAACCAAGTGAGGGGGTAGAGAAGTAAGCAGATTACCATGCAGCATGGCAAGGGCCATGATAGAAGTATCCACAAAGTGTTTTGTGTGTCAGCAAAAGAAATATCTAAATCTATTTCAAGAGTCAAGAAGACTTTCTTAAAAAGGGGATGGGTAGGTGGATTTTTATTTTTTTTTAGGTGGGGTTTCTCTCTGTTGCACAGGCTGGAGTACAGTGGTATGAACGCAGCTCTCTGTAGCCTTGACCTCCCAGGCTTAAGTGATCCTCCCACCTCAGCCTCCCGAATAGCTGAGACTGCAGGTATCTGCCACCACGACCAGCTAATTTTTTAAATTTGTAGAGATGGGGTCTCACTATGTTGCCTGGGCTGGTCTGGAACTCCTAGGCTCAAGAGATTCTCCAACCTTGGCCTCCCTAAGTGCTGGGATTTCAGGCATAAGCCACCACACCCAGCCTACAGGTGGAATTTTTAAGGGTGATTAGGAATTAACTGGACAAAGAAGAGGGAAAGTCTTTGCAAGTAGAGGAAAGAATCTGCTTGGAGCTCAGATAACTATTATTTGAAAACATAATGACATCTAGTTCAAACTTGTGACTGAGTTCCACAGTAGAATTCACAGAAAAAAAATTATTAAATATAATATTTCCATCAGTCTGTGTCTAAAAGATTAAAAAAGAGCAAATAACAATCTTAATAAACTGATGATAGATTATAGCCTCATCTCTTCCAACATCCGATTCTGTGGAAATTTGCATGGACATCTGAAATGGTTAAGCAAAATAAGTTTTCTTGTGTTTTTTTATAAACGCCTAGAGCAATCCATATTTTTCCTCTTGATTTTGACCTTTTTCCAAAAAAAAATAAATGTAATCTGTAGAAAAGAAATTTCATATTACCAAAATAAGTGACATTTTCATTTAAGTAATATCTTCCATTATAAAAAGACATTTTACTGAACTTCGATAATAAAGCTTTCATTTTATCCTCTTATGCACAGACCCTAAATTTATATAAATACATATTTGTCTATATATAGAAATATATATGTAAGTTATAGAGCTATAAATGACAATTGTAGTGTTCAATTACCTATATATTTACAGCTAAAGTATAGGTAAATTTTAGATAATGATGTTGATTATTATGCCACCACAAATGTGACTACTTCTGCCTCTAATAATACTATCAATGATAATAACTACTACCCCACCCTGTTTATTATGTTCTAGACACTGTACAAACATCCTAACTATACATTACATTTAATCCTTATACCACTACCACCAAGATATAGATATTAATCTCATTTTGCAAATGAGAAAACTGAGGCTTACAAAAGTCAAACAAATTGTCATTGGCCATACAGTTAATAAAGAGAAAAGGCAATCTAAATATATTGTTACTTTAAGCTCCCAACTTTACCACTTACTGATTGTCTGGGTTTTGACTCTCTGAACCTAGTTTTTTCTCACCTAAAGACTGGGAACCATACCTACCTAATACAGTGGTTTTGAATATGAACTCTAATGTTATATATAAAGATACTTGTAATACACAACAGCCATAAAAGTGTTAATTATCATCCCCATGAAAAAGCAATAAAGAGGATTTATATAATAAAAACTTGAAAACAATATATCTACAGAAATAACTTACAGTAGAATGATAATAGAAGGCAGGAATAGCTTACTGTGAGTGTTTCTTATAGTTTCATAAGTGTCATAACACACTGGAAGACTATAGAAATCTTAAACACATCATTTATTGTAAGTCCCACTGAAGATTGATCTCAAAATACATAGGATGAACCACATAAATTGACCCTACTATAAAAATTCAAAGGGCTTTCCAGATACATCTCTCTTTTTATTTTAATCTTTTAAAAGCATGTTTAGATTATATTCATTTGATTTTAGTGGAGCTTTTCTCTAAAATAAATTGCCTATACATGCACACACTAACACATGTGGAATTCCTTTTCTGTAATCCTCAAAGAGGCTTTTGATTCTTCTTCTGATTCTCCAAAAAAGAGTCAGTGAGCAAGTGAGATGCGTACTGGGATTTGGATGGCTCCAGAGTCACTGCATACATTTACATAGAAACCAGATGGCTGTGGAAAATGTTTCTTTTTTATTTAAAAAAAAAAAAAAAAAAGGATTATTGAGGTGTTTCTACAGACTCTTATCCTAAAATAGATAAAAAGTGCAAATCAAAGGCAAACTAAAGGGAAGTGGCATCCAAAATACTGCAGAAGCTCATCACAGTTTAACCACATATCCCTCAGGGGGAAACTCTTAAGAAAGTCACATTACTAGGACATAGGTAGGACCTTGTCCTAGAGAGTCTGGGGCTTTCATTATTCAGGGAAAAGGAGGGAAGAAGGAAAGGGGAAATCTTGGCCAAGAAAGTTGAAAGTCCTTGCCCTTCGAAGGCTTATTTTTTTTTTCTCCCTGCAAAACTAACCACAAGTTTATAAGATGGGATGTTTAAGGGACTTCACTTTTTAATCTTGTAATATTAATTCCCTGAAGCTTTGAACTGACAGGCAGGCCAATGTAAATGAGCCAGAACGAGAGTCAGAGCCAGAATATTTGTTGTACCAAGACAAAAAAATGTGTTATTAGTGCTCAGTGATTAATGAGCATGCAAGAGGAAGGGATATAACATGTATAAAATTGTCTTGGTACGTACATGGTTTACACAATATAAGGGCAAAATACAATCGACTTTACTACATACTCATATATACACAGATACCCATATCTTACAGATGCATCTGTACCATATGGGACATTTCATGTGAATTTGCATTCATGTTTAGCATTTCAAAAAATGATAAAAATCTGAATAGACATTTTACATTTGTGAAATGTCACATACACACAGTAAACAATGCTTATTCATCAGTGCATTTATTGGTTTCCTATACTTTAATGATATTTTGTCTTAAATAATTCAGATTCAGTACTTAGTGGTAAGTTAATTTCACTGGCAAAACAAATTAACCAAGTCTATGCTAACCCATGCATGGAGTGACAGTGGAAAAATTTAGTAAGGAATGCCATTATAATTCAAACAACTAGGGAAGAAAAAAAAGCACAGCATTGAAGAAAAAATACTTTTTAACAAAAGAAAGTTTTCTAGAAAAATATGATATTCTAACAAAAACATAGCATTTCACTTTATGAAATTTAAATTAATAATATCCTTTTCCTTTATGTCTGACCACCAAACATGTTCAGAAGAATATAAAGGTCTGCCTACAAATTATACATGTTTATAATAAAGCACATCTAGCATCAACTATTCATCAGGATTGGCTGAAGCCAAAAAAAGAGAAAGTTTTGAGGAAGTTAGACATGATGGGGAGGGGTGTGGAGGGACAAGAGATACAGAGGGGTGACCTGTTAACCCCATCAACTGCACCATGTCAAAGCTGCAAATAGCTGTGATTGGCCAAGCCAGCGAGAAGGAGAAAATAGCCACTGTATTTTAGGAATTAAATAAAATATAGAATAAATAAAAGGATGGAGACATAGTAATTACCCACAATAAACATTAGGGAGATGGGGGAATTTTCGTTTGGCCAGTTGCTTGGTTGACATCCCTCCCCAATTTGATCTCTTCTTATTTTCAAGGCTGGATCCCAAAACTAAACACCAACACCACTACCCTAAGCAATGAAAAGCAAATTATTTGCCGAATAAAAGTTTCAGATATGCTATTTTCACATTATTTGTATTACAAGTAAATACAAATTTTAATTTTTTAACTTGTTTTATATTATGATAATATAATGTTTTAGCAATCATTGTTGCAGGTAAAGAAAACCCAAAATCAATATAAAACAAACAAATATGAAAACAAATCATTTTTGTGCTGCTTAGGAAAAAGGAGTTCTACATAACAACTGTGCTTTCCACTTCTTTTCTTTTCACTACTTTTTTGTCTTTTCTTCCTGCCCTCCCTACCTCCCCGCCTTCCTTCCTTCTTTCCTTCCTTCCTTCTCTCCTTCCTTCCTTCCTTCCTCCCTCCCTCCCTCCCTTCCTTCCTTCTTTCTTTGTCTTTAAAGCATAAGAGCAAACCCAGACGGTAGCAATTCTGTTTACTCTTTTTGAGGCATCTCTCTAGACCTTCCTTCTGAGTGTTTTCTTTCTTTTAATAACACTTTCTTAAAAAAAAATAAATAAAAAACTTTCTAGAATGGAATGTGCAAATTTTGCTGGCTCTCTTCTGCTTTCTCATAGGATTAAATCTGTAAAGAGTTAGTTATTGGTTTTATTAACCCTAATATATCCAGTCAATTTGCATAACTATTTTTAGCTACTCATTTGTATTTTCCTCCTTTAAACACCAATATCATTGTTCTGGAATCAATTCTGCTGCTCAAAAGGAAATTGTACAGAAAGAGGCAATGCAGTTAATAATTTTATCTTTGTTGATGTGCTAATTGGGTTCAAATTAACACATATGCAAAATACGGTGAAGCACCGGACATTATTAGCTCATTCCATCTATAAACATGGTTCTCAAAGTTAGAATCACCAGGAAAGCTTTATAAAGTTCTGATAAATGGATCCTGTTCTCATAGATTTTAATTTGATTGTTCAGGATGGGCCTTGGGGATCAGAAGTTTTAAAACTCCTCAGGTGATTCCAACCTGCAAGAACCACAGAAGACGGAGAACGCTGGTTGATGAGGAGAAGGTCATTCATTGCGAGAGAGAAATAGTTGAGGTCAGAGAGGATGCTGATCCTGTATAATAAGTACACTGGGAAGACAATCAAATATTTCCAACTCATCTGTGATTTTCAAAACTTGTTTGTTGAATTAATCAGGAAAAAGAAGAAAATAGCAAATAAATAATTGCCATTTTACAGTGGCAAATAAATAATCACATGTATCCCTTTGGAGCCAGTGGCCCACCAAAGGTGGAGTCTAAGGAGAAAATGAGCCATGTAATGGAAAAGATGCAATTCTTCAGATAAGACAGGTGAAACCATCATGGGGTCTATCTTTGGAATTTAATTACATAGTTACCTATTTAGACTTCCCTTGCATATCTGCACTCCCTCAATAGAGGTAACAGAGAGTTCAAAAGAGGAAAAATAGTGTTACAATTCTAAAAGGGCTCCAGTTCTGCTGGCCTGTGGCAAATAAGAAAGAAATGGCCCCCACTGGTTTATACAAAACGCAGTTCATTTTTTTCAGGGGTTTGTCATTCCTATGCTTAGGTGGCTATCATTCTATTTTTCACTATGAATGTTGAGCTCTGCTCACCACTGGACTGAACAAGGAAGCAGAAGTTGGCTATGAGACAAAACTACTCACACACATCAGACAAGCCATATGAAAACAACAGAGCAAAAACAGCCTTCAAATAAATTGCACTAGTAAGAAGTTTGGAACTATTTGCTGAGAGCTCAGCATTTGTGATGATGAAGACTGATTTAATTTTGAACTAGGAAAGAAGGCATTTTCTGTATTCTCTGTGCTATTTTCCTTCAGCTCATGATAATCTTCCTCAGTCCTTTTCCTGAAACAGAATACAATTCTGTCCCTCTATGGCTCTCCTTCAGCATGTCAAAAATTGAGGTGAGCTCAGCGTGCGCTTGGAAGGTTGGGGAAGAACTTTTACGAAATGGGCAAAGTTTGTTCCAGGGAAAGCAGAGAAGACATTTGAATATTCCATAAGTGCAATCCTCAATATAAGTATGTAAATATATAACTGAGATTCACACAGTAAAAGATGACTTCAGAACCCCACAGTTGATAGGACTTAAAATAGTTGAAACACCTCAATTTTTGTTACACTGTGTTATAATATGTATTCATTATTTATGTTTCTTTTATTTGTTTTAACTCAAAATCATGTAAAATGATTTGGAAGAAAAGTTTAACAGTCAGTTTTATGGGTAATTCATGCTTGCATTTGATTCATTATTATGATTGCATTTAATATATGTATATAATGAATTTATAAAACAAAGAAATCCATTTTACTAAACTATGATTTCATATTATCTTAATACATTTAGAAACAGAAAAATTAGTTTTGGTGTTCCTATACATTATATATTACTTAATTATTTTAGAGGAATAAGGCAATGGCAGACTTTATGCAAACTATGTTTTAGAGAATTTGCGATTTTTTAGCGTTTGGTTTTGTTAGATATCAAAATGGCTTTCTGGATTCATCTTTGGTGTTACTGTTTCTAATATCATTTTATATAAAATAGTAATTGTGGCCCACTTGGACTCTTTACTCTTTTTGCAGAAATGTTAAAATTCCAGTGAAATCATACACTATTCTATGTAAGTCACAGGAAACCATCTTTTCAAAAAATATGACACAAAGTCTTGTAATAACATTTCCTGAGTACAATCTAGGGAGCTTCTGGGGGGCCAAATGAAGTCATAGAAGCAGAGCCTCCTGTAAAAAGTGAGAAATATTAATAAACACAATGTTTCTCTCTCATCAAATAAAAGCTCACCACAAAGGACTACCTCATGGCCTACAGGAAAAAAAATTTAATATTGTAAAGCATTGCAATGAAAACATTAAAAGTTACACTATTTTTTTTTTACTGAGGATAATGTTAAATCTGAAGAAACTCAATATAATTCACTTATCAGTGCTTGAAATAAAATACATGTTTAATATGCATCAATTCCAGGCCATTTGTCTCATGCTTTTAAAAGGATTCTCCATTAAAACACTGTATTTCTTCCTTAAAAGTTTTGTGATGGGTTTCCAGCCATTTCCGTTTATTGCTACACAGAAGGGAATGACTGGGCAGGTAAATTACTTAAATAGATGGCTGCTAAATGAGAATGAACTTTGACTCATTTAAATTAACTCCAATATTTATTATTAAAAGCTTGACAATGCTCTTGGAAATAATCAAGCATTACCACTAGAATAAATGAATTCAATGAAAAGGACTAAAAAGTAACAGCATTTTGTTTCAGAGATACTACCTTTATGTAAAAATCAAGGATCCATAAAAGGCTTGATGAACATTACCACAGTGTAATATTTGATAGAAACATCTCAGTAACTTTAGATATTTTTTCCGAGAGAAATTCAATGCAAGATACTCTGCAAGTGACTAGAATAACTATTTTTTAAAAAGACAAAGTAGTTAAGTTTTATATGTAAATTTTAATGAAATAGGAAGTGATTCTGTCTTCATGTATGATTGCGTCCATGAATAAGATTTATCATCTATGGAAAATAACTACTTATGTGAAATCACTGCTTAATTTAGAAGTTATTTTAGTTAGCCAATAAGTTAAATTATAGACCTAAGGGTTGGGTAGGGAGAGAGAAAGAACACCACCATTGTTAACATTTAATCTCTGTATACAATATATAAATTTTTTTAGGCAAGAAGGAAAATTAGTAAGATTTCCTTGCTACTGTAGGACATTTCTACATTCATACATCTGAATGACTCTCTGTGATTTACACTAGAATGAGACCTCTCAGACCTGTGGTTCAAAAGCATAAGCTTGGAAGAGATTTCAATTTATTGATTCCCGACACGCATCCTTTTGTCAGTTTCAAGAACACATTTGCTGTTATTAATACCAACCTCCATCTTTTTAACTCAAAATGTCACTGTAATAAGAAAAAAAAATAACTGATGGCCCTGATACAAACCCCTAGGGGGTCATTGTTGCCTGGGAATGAGTTTCCAGTTGCTGTTTACCTGTGTATGCCTTGCCTTGAAACCAGGAATGTACACATGCTTCATGGACAAAGTCCCTGTCTTCTAGAAGCCCTCAAAACTCTGAAGCCCGAGCCAAATACTGTGTACTCAGAAGATGCCCAAGAAGTGTTCCTGGAACTGAATCCTTATAAAAGGGCATTGTTAAAACATGACATTGCCCCCTGCTTGACCTCCAGCCTTCTACACAAATAGATGTGAAAAGATGTGTCTGTGTGTCAAAGTGTATTTTTCACATGGTGACTAATGTTTAATATAATCTATACTCAGCCATTACAGGAAAATAAAGATGATATCAGCAACCAACCCTGAGTGATAGCCTATCTGTCCTTTGTGACTAATTTTCAATACTGTTTACCAAAGAAAAATAGGTTTTCAAAAGCCTATTCCCTTTATCAAGAATACAAGAGAATTCATAAGTGCTGCATATTCACAAAACACATGTTTAAAGCATAGCACTTATTTGGTTGCGATATAATCAGAGGGTGTTTGTGCTTAGCTACACTGAACTACTTGATCATCTACAGCCTTATAGACTCCCTCAGGATCGGAGGCTCTTAAACAAGCTGTTTCAACTGCCAGGAACCTGGCCCTCCTCAGTTCCTACCTCCCCTCCCTTGAACTTCTACTCATTCTTCAGGCACCAGCTGAGATTTCACTTCTCCAAGAAGTTTCCCCGGATGCCTAATAAACTGAGCTAGGTCTCATAGCACCTCCGCCTTACAGAGTGTAATAATTATCACCCTGTATCGTAACTGCCTGTTTGCTTGTAGGTCTCCCTGCCCTAGACTGTCAACTCTGGAGAGCTGGGGCTGTGTCTTGGTCCCCACTGTGCCCCAAATATCTGGAATGGTAGGCACCTCACAGAAACCCACTGAATTGAAATGGTGTGAACTGGGGCTATCAGAAAACTGGAGTAATTTAGGCCAAAGAAACCTTTCTATAGATAACACTTTTTTCTGAATTATAGGTATTTAGGAAATGTATTTATGTTAGGGGTGTGTGTGTGTGTGTGTGTGTGTGTGTGTGTTGGGAAGCATAGAAGCTGCAAGAAAAGGAGAGTAAAGGGAGAGAGGGTGAGAAATGGATCTCATTCCTCTATGCAAGGTTGCACTTCTTCACAAGAATTTCATTCTGCTGTTATACTACACACAATCTTGTAGAATTCCTGCCTCCTTCATTAGACTATAAACCCCTAGAAGGTAGAGATTATGTTATTTTTTGTCTTTGCTGTTTATCGTTACTCATAGTGTCTTAGCAGATCGGGAGGAAGAGAGTGATAGGAAAAGGGGGCTTGGGGAAAAAAAGCTATGTTTTTACATTCTCAGAGTAAAAATTTGGAACCACATAGAAAACAGGGCAAGAATTTTGTTTTTATGGCACTATGAGAATTTAGGCCATTTTTCCAATGATTTCCAGAAAATATTATATAGAGTAGAACCAAAATCAATATTGAATAAATTAAGGTAATTAGGTAAGACAAATGAAATAATGTAGGTCGTTAGCATCTACAATGCCTAAAACACAGTACGCATTCAACAAATGTTAATTCCCCTCCCCTGTTTTATTATCTGTCTTATAACTTACCACCTTGCCAGCATTACATAAGGGCTTCAAGTGTCATGTGAATGTTAAATTAGGACTCCACACCAGGGGTTTTCAAAAATGTGGTCATTTGGGAACTTTTTAGAAGTGCAAATTCTTGGGCTCACCCCAGACTTATTGAATCAGAAACTCGGGGATGGGGCACAGACATCTGTTTAAACAACCACTCCAAATGGCTCTCTACAGCTAAAGTTTGAGAACCACTGCTCTACACCAATGAGAAAAACATCCATTTTAAATACAGGCAAATGATTTGAAGGGAAGACTGCAATGTATGGAAATAACCACCTTACCTAGTGTCTTGCTGCTAAAAGTGTGATCCCTGGACCAGCATCCCTGGACTGTCATTGAGTCACCTGGGTGCTTATCAGAAATGTTGGATTTCAGGCCCTTCCCGGAACTACTGCGACAGAAACTGCATTTTAACAAGATTCCCAGCTGATGTGTGTGTATATTAAGGTATGAGAAGCACTGGTCTAGTGAATATTTTCAGTAATAGAAGATGAGCTACAGGATGGGGGGAAACAAAACAAGTAAAAAATGACATTTAAAAAAAAACTAAACTGAAATCACCAAATTTGCTCTCATATAGATGGGTTATGTACAAAGTAATGGGTGTTTGTCTTTATCACATGTGATTTCTCTAATTAAATTTTATATTGTCTAAAGTGAGTCAAATATATGATGTGGGGGGAAGTGGGAGGGCACCACAACATTTTAACTCTGCTTTCTAACAAGAGAATAGGATGTAAGAGGAAGAACAAGTGGGCCACATTTGAAAGCCCAAGACATGTGAAATGAATCTATTATGTATTTGTAGCTGGAACACGTAAACACTGCCAGTGAATTTTTAAATTCTTCATCTTTTGTCCCACATTCTTACATACATGCACATTTTTCACATATTTAACAAGTAATACTTTTATCACCACGATTTTTGCTATTGATTGCTTCTTTAATAACAAAATGCATCACAAACAAAAATGAATGAAGCTGTCTGAGGAGAAAATTCCGTAGTAGCTTTACTGTCAATGCCCATCATAAATAACCATGACATCATAGGAGCCTTATCTACGGGTTGCCGCTACTGATCGATGGCATCACTCTAGTAGTGTAAATAGCTTCTAATGTCCCATCTTCCACCTTCAAATAGGCTCTGATTATTTATGATAGCTGTTAGGTTACAAGTCTGAGCTGTGGTTTGGATTTATTTTCTACTTATAGCTGCTGTGGATTTCAAGTTAGATAGGATTATTTTTTAGTTAAGATGATAAACTGAGATAGAACTGTCATCGAGCCTGGTACACCATCATCTCATCTGGTTGGTGTCACCATTTGACTATGAATTCATAATGCCAGAATGCTTTTGATATTATGATCATCACCGCACCAATATTAAAAGATGGCAGTTAATCACTGGATTTTACAACATGAAAAAGAAAAACATGCACCAGATATAGCTTTCTACACAATTAAAATGTTTTAAAAATACATTTAGCCATTTGTTACTAAATTGTAAAGAGGTGTATTGTGTGTATTTATGATAATGAAAGTGTGTCAGCTCCAATGTGACAGCTCAAGATGATTTAGGGGATAAAAAGGGAATCCATCAGCTTCTTGCAAGGTATTCTTCATAATCATAAAAGAGCCTGACAGGTAAGTTGGACAAGAATATATTTTTGCAGAGGGAAATAGATATGAGCTGTGTCTACATGAGACAAGCAGGTGGAACATTAAAAAATCTGTCAATTATCCAGATATTTTGTCAATATAATGACAAATATTTGAAGCATTCTGAACATTAGACAGACATGGTAAGTTATCAAAAATGTTTATGAACTAGACCAGGGTGATAGACTGTATTTTATACTTGTTCAGGAATTTTAAGCATTATGTAAACAAAGGATTTTTCTAATACAATCTTAAAGTCCCACTTTTAATAGATTTTACCAATTTGTTATTTAAATAATCTCTACTAAGTCATTCTTTTTCTTTGAGAAAAATTATGCTAAAAAATGTAAGATCTATGTTGCAACAACATGGATGGAACTGGAGGTCATTATGTTAAGTGAAATAAGCCAGGCACAGAAAGACAAACATCACATGTTCTCACTTATTTGTGGGATCTAAAAATCAAAACAATTGAACTCATGGACTTAGAGAGTAGAGGCCGGCAAGGGTAGTGGGGAGGTTGGCGGGGGAGGTGGAGAGGGTTAATAGGTTCAAAAAAAAAAAAAAAAAAACACAGAAGGGGCCGAGCGCGGTGGCTCACGTCTGTAAGCCCAACACTTTGGGAGGCCGAGGTGGGAGGATCATGAGGTCAAGAAATCGAGACCATCCTGGCCAACAAGGCGAAACTCCATCTCTACTAAAAATACAAAAATTAGCTGGGCTTGGTGGCGCATGCCTGTAGTCCCAGCTACTCAGGAGGCTGAAGCAGGAGAATCGCTTGAACCTGGGAGGCGGAGGTTGCAGTGAGCCAGTATCGCACCACTGCACTCCAGCCTGAGTGACAGAGTGAGACTCCCTCTCAAAAAAAAAAAAAGAACAAATGAATAAAACCTACTGTTTGATAGCACAACAAGGTGTCTATAATGAACAATAACTTAATTATAGATTTTAAAATAAAAGAGTGTAATTGGATTGTCTGTAACTTAAAGGATAAATGCTTCAGGGATGGACACCCCATTCTCCATGATGTGCTTATTTCACATTGTATGACTGTATCAAAACATCTCATGTACCCCATACATATATACACCCACTATGCACCCACAACAATTTAAAATAAAATGATTTTTTAATAAGTTCTCAAAACACAAGAAAGTTTTCACCACTCAAAATAGCATGTTCTCAATAGGTATAAGTATGTTCTGTATATACTTTTCAAGATAATTTTTAAATTATCTTAGTTATAAGACTATTTAAAAATCTCAGATTTCAGTACTTATGCTGTCATATATTACATATTCAGCAATTAACCAAGTTTATAATGAAATATGTATAATTTATACTTATGGTAAAAATTTTATTTCCTAAATTTGGAATAATTTTGTATGAATTTTATTTATATATAAAATATCTGTTATATTTGGGATTTTTGAATGGTTTTTAACTACACATGAAATAACTGGAACTCAGCTTACCCCTTACAGTATTTTACAAGCATATTAATAATAATAGTATATCTAAACTTAATCACTGCAAAGAAAAGTGTCTATTTGAAAATGCCCTAACTCTACCAAATTATAAAATTATCACTACAGCAATCTATCTTTTCATATTATTTATAAAATTTTTACCTGATCTTTTGCACATTGCTCTTATAAAGTCATTTTGAGAACTACTCTATATATCAAACATTTAAAAAATGAAAAGACATGCCACTTTTAATGGTGATAAAGCAACTGCTTGATGATATGTAAAATGAAAACAGAAGGTTTCCTCTAATAATTGTTGCTCTTAGATGAATATTATAATTATCCAACTCTCAGATATTTCACTTTCTAATGGTAGTTATTTGAATATTTCTTCCCAATATGGTTTGCACTACTAAAAGTCTCGAGTAAACGGAAAATCTCAGTAGAGAGAAAGTGGGAATGTGGCCACTAGGAGCTGACAATAGCTGTTTTGTCACATCTAGGCCCTGGTACTTACTCAGGAAGTGGGGATTCGTCCAGCCAGCTGATGCCAGGGGAGGATGATTTATTGCCTGGTGTCCTCAGTGGCAATTGGACCCTTTCCCACTGTCACTCACAACTTGCAAAGATTGTGTCCTAAAGAAGAGGTTCCCCTCCGTTCTAAAGAGATTACAATGCTTGTCATAAAGTGTCTTTTAACAGAGGGAAACGGGTATGAAAATGGGCAAAGAAAGGAAACAATCAGAAGAGGAGAGAAGATGGATGTTCTGTAACCTTTTCTCAGAGACCCATTTCTTCTACTTTTTCTCCTGTCTTTAGCAGGTTTTTGTTTTGGCTGATGACAATGCGTAATAGCCTGATAAGTTGATTTTGTGAGTCCTTTTTCTCATCTCTTGAGAAGACACTAACTCGTTGGGACTTCAGAGGGCTCGCAGAGGCAGGAGACAACAATTAGTTTGTTGAAGATGTCAGAAAGTAGCTTCAGAGTTTTGCCAGGAGAAATCCTTACTGACAGATCAGTGCTGACAATGTTGGCAGCTGCTTGAAAAGTGCAGTGAGTGGCTCCAGCATCTTAGGGTCCAAGGAAGAAGGCCACTGCTGCACATTAACTCTGTACTCTGGCTCTGTCTTCAGAGTAGGAATTCCTCCTGACTCGCCAGAATCAAAAAGGAATGTTGTATTTTTTTAAAAAAGAAAAAAAGTCTAAGAACTGGAGTCTACAAAACATTTTGTTAAATAGCTTCGTTAATAGCTAAACAAATAGAAAATTGTCAGTGTTGCTGTTAATTTAAATTTAAATCACTGCCTAAATAAGTCTTTATAACTGTTTTCAAAACCTTTTATGTACTGTACAATTTTAAATTTACTTCTCCATATGTAAAAATATACACTGGCGCTCAACTCTACAGAACATATTAATTTCAATAAATCTTTTTAAGGGACCAACCTGACATGTTAAGGAGATAAAATGCTTATGGTTGGAACATACTTAAATTAGTCAAACATTTTGCAGTACCATCCTTGAAATTATTAAACATTGTTGACATTCAAAATGCCAACAAACTTTTGCTTTAAACTTACCAAAGGAGACTCAAAGTATTGCTTTTCTAATACAAAATAACTTATTTTTCTAACCTGAAGACATAAAATTGGCGAGTTCTTAAAATTGTTGGAAATAATATAAAATCTCATTGCATTTTGATAAATATTATAAATATTAGTATTTTCCTTTGGGATAAAAAATAAAAGATTGATCTTTGTAATGAATAAAAGGAAAATACTACATTTTGGTAGCTTCGTAGCCATTTACTTTTTAAAGGAACATAAGTTGGAATACTATACTGCGTGTGTATGGATGTGTGTCTATATCATGTAAATGACATATATGTGTTTTTTGTGTAAAATTATCACTTTAGGCATAGTGTCCTGGAAGTTGTAATATAGTGAGGGGTTATTTATAGAAAATCTCTCAGAATGTTTCCCAGATAGAGCTAAATGTAAACCTTCTCTATATTTTGAAAAAAACTACATCAACTACAGTGTGTTTCTCACATTTCTAAAAAGAGTATAAAGTGCTCAAGCGGGACAAATAAGAAGAGATGTAAATGGGGTAACCTTAAATATTCTACAGAGAGGAGTCCCAGTGAAAGCCCTGAGTGTCAAGAAGCCTGAATTCTAGGCTTTGTTTTGCCACCAACTAGCAAATGACCTTGAGCCTCTCTGGGACCCACTTGCCTCATCAGTAAAATGAAGGGTTAAACAGGATGATCTCTCAAAGGAACCTTTTATAGTTATGCAATCATTATCATCTGAAACTACTGACTAAGCATGATCCACTCAGCATAATCTATGAGTTTAGTCAGAATGAGGTTTCTAAAACAAAAACCACTGCATAGTGAACGGCCAAGGCCACTGTCTGAAATTTGAGGAGCAATTATGCAGATATGGGGGCAACCAGATCTTTGATTTCTGGTCCATAGGCTTCCTGTCAACCTTTGATCCCTTCACCTGTATTAAAGGACAGCCAGAGGAAGAGGAAGAGGTAAGAGACATCACATAGTTTGCTACTGATCTGCTACATGATAAAAATTAGTGGAAATGAAGGGAGAATTTGAAACTAAACTGGGACTGAGAAGTTCTTAGAGTTTATCCCTGCTACTACTGCTGCACATTATCACAGTATTAATACGACTGTTGGGGAATAAATGCATTTAACAGTTAATGTGAACTCCACAGAAATAAATTACATGGCCAAATTGTTCACTAAATGCATTAATCCAGCTGTAAGGGACCTGCATCATAGCAATAATTGCACTGTCATTTCAAAGCTTTTAAAAGCTAATCAATCCAAATTATATCAACTTGACTTATACCTTCCCAGCAGCAGTACCTCAGTATTGCATAACAAATATACGATAAAAGACAGCTTCTGGCGTATTTGTAAAGCAGTTTAAAGCTTATGCATTTTTGGCTAACCTAAGACTTCCAGGGATAGGAAGAAAAAAAAAGACATCATGGCTCCACAGGTTTGACCCAAGTTTTTCCCATTTTACTGTCTGAGCCAAACAATACAGTTAACTCACTTTATGTGCGTTCATAATATTTGCCACAAATATTGCTGCAATAGATAAAACCAGTACTTCAATCACAATAGTCAATAGAGTTCTACTGGGTAGCAAAAACTCCTCAGCACAACAGGAGACTTTTAAAATTCAAGCACTCTAAAACTTAGCAGCACCCCTGAGAGCCACAAATTGAGAGAGATTAATTCTGTGCTCCTGCACCCCTCATTACCAGGAGAGCTGAAGTAGGTCAAATGCAAGTTAATCTCCTAAATTCCACTTTTGTACATGCAAGTTAGGCCAGCCATTACTGTGTATGGGCTAATGTCTTTAAGCTATGTGCACACAAAATTAATAGACAGTTTGCCCAGCCAATATGAAATATAAATAAAAGTAAATGCCTTGAAGTGATTTTACATAACGACATGGCACGATAAAGTAACCAAGGAAATATCTGCATACACCTCTGTGCTATCTAGAGTCAACACTGGTGAAAACAATGAAAGCCAATTATCGAAAAGTTCTGAATTTTTCTCTGATAAACAATAACACACAGATGAACAAATTTCATTTAATCCACCTATTTTGAAACATCTAATAGAAAAAAACTGCAAATATGATCTGCCTCCACCTCCCCCCACTTTTAAAAGAACAAGGCAAATTGCTCATGCAGAGGGTGATGAAGTTTTAAGCGAAGCAAGACTGCCATCACTCTGTGAAGGTACAATGTTTTCCATTCTTTAGGGAAGGAAAAAAAACAAGGCATACATGTCAGCACGAAGCTAGTAAAATCAGGACTCTGCTTGTCCAGAAGGCTCATAACAACCTAATTGCCTTACCTCTCTCAGACTGCAGCCAGGTCAAACTATTTATTCTGTTTTCATTATGAACTGCATATTTTCAAAGTGGTAAATCTTGTGATTTCTTTGTAAAATTAAATGAACCATCATCATACATTCTGCAGGTCTCTTTTTAATTTTGAAAATGTTGTTTCACATTCTAACTTATTTCATATGATCCTAACAATAACCCAAGGTTGGGAGGATTCAAATGATAACGTATTATTCTTAATGTACTACAGTAAGAAATATTAAATTACCAAATTAATAACCACGATAGCTGAATTCTAGTCCTGCCTCGGTAGCTAACTAGATATGTGACCATGGGTAAGTCATTTTATGTCAGCAAGCCACAGGGGGAAAAAATGCACTTCAATGACAATTTAAAGAATAAAAAAAAATTACACATGATCCTTAACTACATGAAAAGAAATGCTTAACCTCACTCTTACTATAAAAAAAAATTTAAAATACTCCAAGACACTACTTAGTTACACACCATGCTGGTGTGTAAGAGTGGGGAAATAGGGACTTCTATATGCTGCTCTCAGCATATAGTTCCATATATAGTTCCATGGTTGGTTAGCACAGCCATGGAAAATTGGCAGAACCTGAAATAGTTATAAATGCATATGCCCTTTTGCTCCATGTACAGTTATTGATTTGGCATTGTTTGCAATAGCAAAAAAGAAATAAAAATAAAAGCAACCCAAATGTTTAATAATAGGGAAACCTTTAAACAAATTATGGTATATCCATTCAGTGGAATTCTATACAATAATTGATAAAGAATGAGGAGGTTCTCTACATGTGGATATGGAATGATCAGCAAGACAAATGGTTAACTGGAAAAAAGCAAACTGCAGAATGGTATACTCAGTCTATACTAATGTAAAAAAGAGAAACAACATATATGCATTTGCTTCTACATGCATATCATATATTTAGAGAGATGATACACAATAAAAACATTGGTTGTACTTCATGGGGGGGCAGTTAGTGGATGGAGACAGGTATGTTTAGTTAATTAAATAAATATTTAAAAGAATTAGCTACATAGAGAAAGATATCCAAAATATTACTACAAAAATAAATCAAATAAGTGAATATATAGGTACACATTTGAAAGAAAAAGATTTTTGTCCGCATACACACAATGTCTGTGTGTGTGCATGCATTTTCCTGTAAACTTTTTGGAATGATATGCAAGATATTGTTGAAACTATAGAGAGACACGGAGTATTTACTAGGGGAAAAAAGACTTCTGCACTGCTTGAATTTTACTATATGCATGTGTTTCTTTCATAATCATACTAACCACAAATAAAAGACAAAAAATGAGGAGGAGTTAGAATTAACTGAAAGATATCTACAAGAGAAGTTATCTACCCTTAAATGAATTGAAATGACCCATAACAAAAGCATTCAATTACTCTCACCTTCCCTTCTTCTGATTCAAATGTAGATGAGTTCACTTTGAAAAAGAAAATTTCTATTAGAAATTCTGTGTGGATGACAGGCCTCTGTGAACATAAGAGCAAGAGCTCAGGGAATGGATTTGTCTGGTTCGCCACATAAACGCCCAATAAATACGTGTTGACTGACTGACAAGCCCCATTGCTAAGCATGCTACAGAATATGTGCAAAATAGCCTACTTGAGCAGTCTGCCATCCCATGAAGACATTCGATTCCAACAGGCTAGAACTTAATTGGAAAAATATGGGCAGAACAGGATGACAAGACCATTCTAACAAAGTCCTCTGAAAATGGGCGATTATTTCTCTGCTTATCTACAGGGCATCTTCCCAGCAAGACACTGAGCCTTAAAAAAAAATATTTCTAGCAACCGAAATAACTCTATTCCATATGCATTTGTCAATGTTCCCTGAGAAAGCAGTGGTAGTGTATGTGAGAGTGGAGAAAGATGGGAATATTGCAGATTCTGTCTGTGTGTGCACACATGTGCATAAGGACCAGATGAGGTGAATGCCCTTAGAAAAATTAGTATGTTTTTATTCACTGAAGTAAAAAGAGGCTGTTTCTGGGTGTGGAGTGTGAAAAACAATCTTACTACTTTATAGTCACACCTCATAACATAATCCTGTAACACCTACTGACCCAGGATCTCCAAGAAAGGGATAGTGTTAATTCTATTGCACTTATGGGAAATTTGGGGAATATGTAGCCAAGATCCACCAGCCCTGAGGTCCTGACTCATAGCCTTAACTATGAGATTTCCCTCCTGATTTGAGGATGAGTAGAATATACTCACACCTTTTCATGGGATTCTACCTCGTTCTTCTTCAGGAACTACAAAGCAATCCTTTAAAGATGAGTGGTATTAACACTGTAATTACTATTATTATTTATTTCATAAGAGAAGTAAACATTTTATATGTAGACTTCCTTGCCAGACAGCTAATGTAAAAATGAATATTTCAATTCTGAGTCAAAGAAAAGATTAATAACTTCTACACATTTATTGCCATAGACCTTTTATTTGCAATCATTTCAAAAAACAGACTGTCTTTAAAACATTTTAGTCAAATAATTATGAAGAACAGAACAAATGCCTTAGAATGACTGCATCTTCAGCAGCATGATACATTACTATTTCGGTCTACCTCCCCCTGCCCTCATGTCATATTTGGGTACTTTTATTTTTCAAATATTGAGTTGTTTTACTGCCTGCACAGTTAAGGCTATGATTGGTTGTTAACCACTTCTCTAAATACTTCAGGAGACTGAGAACCAGAGTGGAACTGCATTTTTTTACATCAATATAAAGTCATGTTCACCCCCATTCCCCTCCCTCTCATCCTCCCCTTTCCCCCCTCCCCCAGTGTTTTTCTCCCTCACTTCTTAGACGCATTTGGTAACAATCAGGCTTTTATTTTAAGGAGCCCTAAGATAAGGTATCTGTGAGCTCCACACTTGGAGTAATTGATCACATTTGTTTCCTGTTCGTAGGTTAGACCCCTCCTTCTTGCTCTTTTTCTTTTTTTTAAACTTGGCATGTTTCTCATTACCCTCTGCCTTGTTAGCCTAGTAGAAATTTTCTACTGTGGAGAGTGAAAACAGGACGATACTATTACAAACCTCGTCTAGTCGGTGACAGCAGCCCCTCTCTTTCTCCAGGAACATTGGGCCACTTCACGCTCTAGTGGGGGGCCCTCCTATGGATACAGGTATGCATGCCTGTAACTGAAGGAGGTTCTGTGGCATTTGCTTGGTGTTCACATGTTTAATTTTCACAGAACTGTGCTGATTCATACCGAGACTGTTCTCCAGGATGACAACATTGTTATCATATGACTCAAATTGCCCCACCTCATTTCATTTGGGAATGTTAGCTCAGGTTCAATAACCATCAGCTGCCAATTCTGTAAAAGAAGACCTGTATATTTCCCGTCTATGCTTTCTAGATAAATTGTAATCGGCAGCATTTTACTAGCCCTGTCAGGTGGGGCTTAATTGCAGATATTGTCTAAGGAAAGAAAAATGCAGAAGAATGAACGATCTTTTCTTCTTTGAGTCTCTGTGGGCCAATGAATATGAGACAGGGACTCAGTCATTTTCCTATCAAGGCTTCAATCACAACAATCCAAGTTAAAAACTCCAGTAACTCAATGTAAAATGAAATGCAAGCCCTGCCATTATTTTCCTGTTTGGGGCTGAGAGAGATACCAAAATAAATTGTTTATAATGGCTACAATTCAATTAATATATCTACTTATAATATCAATATTTATTTATAAAAATATGATAGAGTCTAATGAAGTGATATGCAGTTTATGCAAGAATCTTAACAAATAATCCTTTACCTGAGTGGTATTCCTTCAACATTCAAAGTTTCAAGACTATCTGAACAATTCCCTATTTTGTTTATTTGGTTGTTAGTTGGTTTTGTGCTTGTTATTCTCTTACACTTCACATGTCAACACCTTTACATAAGCAGCCAACAAAAGCAGCATATTTTAACAGAACTAAAAATAAATTAAAATTCAGGAAGAGACTTGGAACCTGGTCTAAGCTCTACCCCCAAAGTAGTTGGGTGACCTTGAGCAAGTAACTGACCCTTCTTGACCTTCAGTGTCCTCATTTATAAAATGAGTAGGCTGGGCCAGATGGCTCCACAGTGGCTTTCAGTGCTTCCTTCTCTGTCATAACTAACATTGAGCTGAATCACACTGTAAAAGATTGAGTCTTCGAGATTTTCCAAGGCTATGTAGAATACAATAGCCAGTAGCCACATGCAGCTACTAAGTGCTTGAAATGTGGCTAGTCCAAATTATGAGGTGTTATAAGTGTGAAATACATACCAGATTTCAAAGATTTTAGTACAAAATAGGTACAGTATTTCAGTCATTTAGTTTTTGCATTTAGAAATTACAATATTTTGGATCCTCTGGTTAGATATATTATTTAAATTATACCTTTTTTTTACTTTTTATAAATGCAGCTGTTACAACATTTTCAATTACTTATGTGACTCATGTTATATCTCTATCGGATGGTAAAGTAATAACAGGTCTATGGCTGTGTATTTACCACAGAGAGAATTAAAGTGGAAAGACTCTGAAATATTTTATTTACTGGGGGTCTTTCATAATAAAACAAAAATCTCTTGTTTTCTGGATAAAAATATCCAGGTCAAAGCCATCTCTGAAGCACCCATGCTACTCAATAAAGAACACTAAATGTTAAAAAGTGTTGTTTCATAAAATTATAGTACTAGTAACCCACATATAACCTAAAGAGCTTAAAAATTGCCCCAAATCTCATAATTTTCTCATCTAACTAATCCGATTTACATTCCTGAACACCAGAATTATTCATTCATTATATTCTTTACAATGTTTATATTTTAAAAATTTAGAAAAACACATTAATGAAAAGATTTTTTTATATAAATTATCTTTTGTTTCTTAATATAGATGTACCCACTTTATTCTGACAATCCCTTTGCTGAAGAACTTCTGAAGGACTGTGGCTAAAGATCAAATCTTAACATATTTTTGTCAATGAATACCTGGATAATTTAATTATTAAGGAAAAATCAAAGTTTTGTCTACATAAAAAAGTATTGCATATCTATATGATAGATATTTTAGTCAATAATTGCAATTTTGTATCTAAGGTGATAAATCTACACAGTAATGTATTTATGTATCTTTCTAGTAGGTATTAATATAAGAGAACTATTCATTATGCTAACAGTGAAGTCTAACCCTCAAAAGAAGCATTATCTATTCCACATTAAAGTAAACCCAGTTAATACCTAAAATGAATGTTTTAAAGTACATAGAAAAATGATTCAGCAAAAATTATAATTACAAAGCTGATAACGGTCATTTTTCTTTTGTTAATAATATTCAAATGTATCCCTTATTAAAATATGTAATCTTATTTTTACCACACTCTTTCTCAAGTGTTTGAATCTTTGACCATCCCCAGAACCTGACGCCTTGTCAGCCTATTGCAGGTAAAAGCTTTTGAAGATCTACCACTACTCTTGTCCTAATAAGGTCACTGACCTTTCAAGCTCAACTCCTACCACCCCCATCTTCATTTCCTCTCCTATCATTAGTCTGAAATGGCATCAACTACCTCTCAATTTTCCTTATCCCTTCAATGCCCCACCTCTTTAGTCCAAATTCACCTAATTAGGAACTTAATTTCCTTTTTTCTCTGATTGAGGAATTGATAATAGATGGACCCTATTCATCTTTGATTCACGGAAAACTGCAACAATGACCTCTTATTTAGGAAGGATAAGCATTTATTCTAGAAATTGTTTTGTGGAGGCCAACTACAGAACTAAGTAAAAGTGATGTTTTTATTTTTATTTTTTAGCTAAAACAGGGAAAGGAGAATCATTCAAATCTGATACGTTTTGTTTCTTTTACATTTCATTTTACATAGCCGTAGTTACTAATATTTAAAACAAGTAGATTTTCCTGTAAGGCAGAAAATAATTGAGTTCTAATAGAAGATCACTGAGTTAGATTTAAAGAAATATATTAATGGAAGTTAATAATTTCTTAAAACCGGTCATTTTTAACAATTTTATAAAAACAATCTCTCACACCAGAAAAGACATATGTGGGCTAGGTATCTACAAGTGGGAGTCACATATTAAAGGAGCTATCTCAGTAATTAGCTAACTTTACTATGAAATTATCTTCTTGACTCTGATGTGGTAGTTTAACTGTGGAGTTGTCTAACGTAAAAACTCAAAGCACATAAATATTCCTTGCAATATTTTTTTTCTGAAACTTGTTGGGGGGAAAAGTATGGCCTTAAGAGTTAGTGGTAGCAGAAAAACCAAACCAACAATTTTATTCCACCACTAAAATTTTTAATGTCTAATTTCATATCCTATTCATTCAGGGAGTGAAATAATCATAAACATCATAGTAAAGCTTAGAAGTGACAATCATAATAAACAGTAAAGACAAACCAACTTCATTTTGTCCAATAGGCATTTGAGCCCATACTCAGAGCATTCTGCAATAGGACTCAGGACCAAATCATTTCACCAACATTTTTCTTGCAACGAAGCTATTCAACGCAGAAAAGAATTAGGGAAATAGATGACCTAAGAAGAGATGACAATTTCTTGATTAAAAATGTCCCTCTCAAGTACACAATCTTATCTCTCTCTGCTCTCTTTGGTGGCCCATTTGAGCTGAATGAGGGTTAGAGCTTTGCTGTCTGGACCAAAACTATGCTGATGTGACTTAGAGCCTCTCCCCAAAAGGGAAGTTACATTGTTGATTTATCCCACGAGGCTACAATTTATTTTCATAAAAATAAAAATCACCAAAACAAGTTGCTAAAACACTGCTTTTTTCCTTCTCATTGAATAATTCATGCTACATAAGCCTAAGCATGGCCAAAGGATTTGGCTGTTTATAAGAGATAGCTAATGCTAAAATTGCCTCCAACTCAGTTATCTGGAAAGAAAGAAAATCATAGGATAATGAGTCGGGAATTAAGAAGAAAGCACTTTAAAACACAAAATTAAGTGAATCAACTACTTCATCAATTTTGGAAAATAATGTTAATACTATTTTTGCTTAGAAATAAAATCATTTATACCAAAAATCATTAATTATTAATAACAATTAAAATGGAGAACTCACTCTAATTGAGACTGAGGAATTTAAATTCTGACTATCTTGGAGCCCCACATAAAAATGTTTCCAAATGGAGGACAATAAAAAAAGATCGGTTTTATACAAGTTGCCATATTTTTGCCTTCATCTCCTGATGCTACTCCAAGTTAACCCTAAATAAGTAATGTAAATAGCTAAGTAAAATTCAGAATCTTTTCCAAAAGGCAGTAGTGTTATAACATCAACCAAACCAGCTGGTATGTAGCCAAAACATTAGAGAGGGAAATAATTTTAAAATTAAAATAAAATACTATCTTCTAATCATGAAGATAACCTTATTTTTTTCTTAGGTATCTTTTAAGAACTTGCATTTCCACAAGCCAATTACTGTCTTTATACAAAGCTTCATATATAACAATACAAACTGTAAACTGACATGTTGTGAAGCTAGTTGAATTCATCACAACATAACTATAAATTTCTTCTCAAATCATTTAAATAGTATGACATTTCCCCCCAGTTCTTTTGTTGATAAGCAGAATACACTTTTTTTCCTAATATATAGGCAAGTCTCAAGTTTCTTAAGTAAATCAAAGAATATTTATTCAGTCCCTCCATAGCTAACCAGTAGATTCGCATAGCTGAAATCTTTTATTGCTTCTTTTCTTTCTACTTCACAAACCTGCTTATAGTTATTACATAACAACGTGAGTTATAAAGTCCTGAAGATTTTCCATTGAGAGTGGAATTAATCTCAATGTAAATCAAAGTAAAAAATTAAAATATTGTTAGAAAACAATAAAAACAAGATGTTATAGCATTTTTAATCCTAACACCAAAAATCTCAAACCCCAGTAAATAAGTTCATATTCACAGCATATTTTTGACTCACACTAACAATAATCCCAGAAAGATCTGCCATTCCCCTAGGCTACCCAAGAACATGTTAAATCTCAAAAACCTAATGCCTACAGTTTTTCTCTTTATTCCAAAAAACTAATCATTATATCTCTTCCAAAGTTGCCAGAAATTCCTCAGTCCCCATAAAGCTTAATTTACTAGTTCATAATATTTCCATATTTATGTATTAAGCTACTTTCATAGGACACAAAATGATATATTTTTCAAAATTGGCAGTTTCTATTTCTCTTTTTAAGTTTAGTTTGGTCGTATTACCCATAGGTTAAATCCTAGCCTAACCTTTAACTTGTATCTTGGAAATACCAAAAAGCTTGTACCTTTAGAAAATGTGTGCAAAGTTTAAAAGAATTCGTGTTTTATGGCTAATCATAGAACGCTGAGGACAGGTAAAATGCAAGGAATGTTGCTAGAACCTCAGGATGCCGAACCAAGTAAATGGATGCCATGAAAATACAGCTGTATATGTTTGCATGGGCATATGTTTGTTCAGTTTTTCCCCCCCTTCCTGAGCTGGGGCTTCAGCTTTAGGTCATTCTGCAAACAAGCCCCAGGAGACACACAATTACACTCCCCTGGAGACTGACCCCTTAGAGTGCCCACCTGTAGCCAAACACAGATAGCATCCCGGCGCAATGAATTAGCACTCTAAGCTGATTAGAGCAGCTCTGCACAACTCTATTTTATTGACACAATGAAGAGAGGACAGAAAAGGGCCTGAAATGAGAAAATCATTTCCATGCTGACTGAATTAAAAGAACAAAAGAGCTCCTTGCAGTTGCAGCATTCAATTTGTCGGGAAAAAAGGAAGCCACTTAATGGCTCACAATAGATCTGAGCAGACAGATGAAATTTAAAACTTCAGCATGAGTGCGATTAGCAGCGAAACATATTCTAAATCATTTCCTCCATATGCATAATTTTGTTTGATTGTTTAGTTCTGTGTTTTACAAAAACACTGGGCTAGATGCTATCTTCAAACTGTCTTGACTTTTCATTTTGCAAAATCACAGAACAGTTTCTCATTGTATGTTAATGTCCTTGGTGACAATATAAATTGAACACAACAAGTGTGGCTCATGTTTTCCTTTCACCTTTGGTTTTCAAAAGTGAATGTATAAACAGAGGTTAATTTGTGGAAACTAGGATTGCAAAGTAATCTTCTACCAAACAACTTGTAATTCAAAATTAAATAGATTATAGACAACAGAAGCACTTTGACATGGGGTAAAAAACAACCAATTATTGCACCCAGAGGCTAAAAATAAACTGCCATGTTAAAGTCAAATGTCATCACTGATGTCTTCTTTGGTTTAAAAGATAGCATTATTATCAGTAAAAGCAACACCGTTAAGACGGCAGTTTCCAAGTATATGTTCTTTTTACATTTTTGCTCAATTAACTATTGTTTTACTTGTTCTGACTTATAAATTCCTGAGTTAAATTGAATTTGAAATTGATGTCAAAAAATGATCACTTAATAAGCAAAGCTAACTTTTAGATATAAATACCATATAGCAGTGAAGATTCTCTAGAATATCATCTTTTTTTTTTCCAATTTTATAAGAAAAATCTAAATGTCTAAACCGTATATGGAAAACAGAATTGATTTTCATGAAAGGATTGAATGTTTGTTTTTGATGGGGATTTTTCTCCTGCCAATGTTAATTTTCAGTGCCTAAAAATAAAGAGTAAAAGCAAAGGTCTTAGTTTTTAATTACTCAAAATTCACAGTTTCATTTTCCATGCCTAAGCTTCTTTTAAGAAAGCTTTTTTGTTTAAAGTGGCCCTTCAGACTTTTAACCTCTCATCTTGACTCCTAATTTAAATGAAGAAAATTCACTCCTTCTGTTCTTGAAACATTCTTTGCCAAGTGTTGAGGTGCAATGTAAATTGAGCAAAAATTGTAGAACAAATCAAAAGAAAAACAATTACTGTGAGATACTTTGAGATTCAAGACTTGGGGTACATTACTACTTAATTTGCTAAGTGTAATTTCCCCAGAGAAAAAAAACCAAGGTATTCTAAGGATAATAAAAGCACAAGTGATCTCCTCAACAGCTTCCATTTTCTTGACTAAATGAGGTAAGAGTTTTTTGTATAAAAAGAAACTATAAAGCTTGTGGATGTTTTAACAAAATCAACGTAGTGTAACTTTGCTGACAGCTTGTCACATTTCACTGACTGTCTGTCTGGGGTACCGCGATAACATCTGCATTCACTCAGTATGAGAGCCGAACATAAGACAAAAAAGTGGGCCCTGCCACGGACGGCTCCATCAGTCTGTCAGTTCTGACATGTCATCTGAATTTTTTGAATCACTAAACACTTTTGAGACTCTGGTACTTATTATCTTTTCTTAGTTTCTATACTCGCTCAGCAATGCTGGAAAATGTAAAATCTGCAAGCAAGGTAGTGGACGTCCCAGGCTTTTTGTTGTCTAATCCGTAGGCCCTCATTCATGCTCACTGTTAATCTCTTAAGACATTATAAAACTGTTAGACAAAGAAATGTGAATACCTCTGCTTCTTTTGAGAATGGGAGGAAACCAAGGAAAATCAGGATCATGCTAAGCTATTCTTTTCATTATGAAAATGGTAACTTAAACCTGTTGCATCAAATTATCTATAATTCCCCACGCTAAGGCAAATGTTTTTGAAGAATGAACAAGAGTAGTGTCACATAAAGAGAAAAATGATCACAGAATTTTCAAAATCTGCCAAATTTGATGTCAACAGAGCATTGAGATCCTTGTTGCCGCATTTCTGTTTCTATTTTTTATGCCATGGTACATGACATATGGTTAAGAGGCTTTCATAAAAGCTCATAAAAAAGCTTACCAATACCCACTAGTAATCATTAAATAGTTTAGATAATTTTGCTCTTTATTAGGAATCCTGGGAACACTAAGAGCTATATAACAATAGCCTTAAAATGTGGCTAACATTCATTAAAGTGCTACACATCACAGATTTTAATGAGCAATTTTATCCTCAAAACTGGAAAACCTTACAGCATTTTTCCTAAAAGGGTCAAATATAAGTAGATCCTCAGAGCTAGAGAGAATACTTACATGAACCACATAAAAGAGCCAAAGCTCCATTTCTACCTCCTGTTTGCAGTCAGTCATTCAGGACATTAAGTTAAAACTAGATGCATTTGCTTTCCAAGAAATCAAGACATAAGGAAGAGAGAAAATAATATTAAAATTAAGAGGCAATTTTTTTTCTGGACCTCAGATACCTAGTTCCCTTCTTCATAAGCACATGCTTAACACCTGCAAATAATTTCAGGTATAGACAAATGCCCTGCAAGGACTAATTACAGGTGTGCTTCCCACCTGCATCCTCAAAAAAAGACTAATTGTGCCTCAGATGGTCAAATCCTATGAATATTTGCTCTGAAGGAAGGTGACACATATATTAGATAGATAATTAATTTAACCAAAACCATTAGGTAAAAGGAGTTACACTGACATTTGCCTAAGGAAAAGAAAAGATAAATGAATGAAAACTAGAGAAAATAAAGACAGAAAAAGGGAAGAAAGGAAGCAAAAAGGAAGAGGTGAGGAAAAGAAGTCTATCATTTTTCACTGCTATATTCTCTGGGCATTTTGCAAACACGGTAGACACACCACACACACTTTGAAGTTAATATACTAATTAATTAATAATGAACAAAAATAAGAATGAATTTTGGAACCATGTGTTATTTTATGCACTTTACCAGCGCCTTATGTAAATCCAACTTGAAAAACAATTTTGCATGCAAACAAAACCTCCCTAATTATAAGCATGGGTAAATGCACTGGCACTGGCAAATCCACTACTGCAAACAGAAGACTTTGTGACTATTTCTCACTTTTCTTCTTTTGGCATATTGTCGTCTTGTAACTCTCTCAAGAGCTTTGATGTAATGTCATTTGCTTGATGTTTAGTCTGTGCCTAAAATGTCAGCTGTTTATTATTTTTACATTTCAGCGCTAACACAATGGCACTTCAGAATAAAGGGCAGGGTTCTGACACATCTCAATGACCAAAGGACTTATATTAAATAGAGGTTTCCATTCTTCCTGAAAATACTAGGGCACTCATTTTTTAAAACTTAGATAGACCAGTTTTCATTACTACATAATTTTCTTGTGACATTTTTGTAATCTACCTGTGAGTGGCCCTGTTTCAAATACTGTATCGAGAGCCAGCTTATTACATCAAGAACTGTATGCCTTCTTTAGAGCCACAAAAAAAAAAAAAATCACCTTTTCCTTTTATAGAACAGAAGACCAAGATGGTAGAAGGGTTTTGAGCCCTAGGACAAGCAGACAAAAAGATAACTGTCCCAAAGGCAGTCTCTCTCCTTTCTAAACTGCTAAGCTTAAGGGCCTCCTAGGGAGGAAGAATTTAGGGCCTACACGAAAATTAACAGGTACTATTTAATGCATGAAAGAGTAAATATAGACAAAGTTTTCCAGGAGAACTGCATAAACTTATAAGACTTATAACAAAGTTAAAAACGTAAGTGGCTTTCAAAAGGATAACAGACAAATCCACAGCAACAGAATCTTGGTGAGGAACAGCTGATGGTAGAAATACTATCTCATTTATGCTAAATTTTTAACCCTTACCCATGTGGGTAATGAATTCTAACATCCTACTGTGGCAATTAGTACTTCTTTTTCATCTATTTTTCTCAACTGGAACTAACTAATCCTCGAGCCTCATACCAACTCTACTAAATCTATTCTACCAGAATTTGGTTTAAAAACAGTCATGTTCAGCTATGTCTATAGCACATATCACATCATAATTTTGCCTTTCTTTACAAAAGTTTTAATATTTTAAGTGTCACCTTACCTGATTATAGTAACTTCATCCTATTTCATGGAAACTGAAGGTGAAATAACTTATTTTTCTTTTCTCAACACAACTTAGAGGATTGCAATTGGCAATCAGTGCTCTGAGGTGCTTAGTTGGACTATACATAGAAACCAAAACTCTTCAACTATACTTTACAACTGTATCTTAGATTCTCAGTGAGATTCATAACAGATCTGTGGAGCAGAAACTAAAGTCAATTGGAGATCTATGTTTCTATCAATCAGTTATGGTAGGTGAGTAAGGAATCAAACTTCAAATGAACACTTGAGTGAAGCCCACCAAGTGACATCATATACCACCTCAGTATAGTACCTTTGGTAATGTGCCTGAAAAATCAGTGTTCAGGGGTCCTTATTGGAGCTCTATAATTTGAATCCTAACAACTCATGATTTTCATCAAGTGCTTTCTGTATTTTTAACCTGGCTTATCTGTAGTCAAACTCAACTATTCTTCTACCTTTATATTGCTGACAATATTCTATAGAATGAATATCTTCAAAGGAGAATCTCCATGCTTTGGAAGATACAAGCAAAGTGAAAATTCTCTTGTTAAAATGATATTCACATCTGGTGTTCTCAAGATTGATGCCTTTTCCAAGATTAAAAAAAGGCTCTAACTTCTTATTAAACATTCCAATTAAATGTATTACTAAATCCACACTGTTCTCAATGGAAGCCCCTGCATGAAGAGAGACCTTAGGCTATAGCAGAGTTTGAGTAAGTAAAGAATCATAGCATGTGGTAGTTTTGTGACAATTTAGTTCATACTGCAGATGCTAGCAGACATTAACATTCAGTCTTAATGGTTAGGAGAATTGAAAGGAGTTAACTACACTCCAGGGAAACCAGAGCCTCCTATAACTGGTCTTGCCCTTCAAGTTCTTCCTTGAGGAAGAATCTACCTACACTCAGGGAAACTCAACTTTGGGCTACTGTTACTTTCAACCATAAATCCTTAACCACATAATTCAAGTATACCCCTTCTAATATCCTGTGAGTTGGGCAGTTTGCCCTCCATTTCCAGTAGCATATATTTTGGAATTTCTCTGTAAGAAAAAAGCTCCTTTCTGGCACTCCCTAGTGAGATGAACCCGGTACCTCAGACCCTAAAACTTAAAGTATAATAAAAAAAAAAAAAAAAAAAAAGTTACACCAAAAAAAAAAAAGAAAAAAAAAAAGAAAAAAGCTCCTACAATTTTTGACATTTCTTATGGTTCAAAGGCAATGATGAACAGCATAGCTTTAGATGTGAAAAGCTGTAATAGATTTTCTGTAGAGTCTGAATCTATGAATCCTCAAATTTCTGCCCAGAAAGTCCCAGGACTCACTGGACAACCAGGTACCATAATTAAAGAAAAATTTAAGAATAAACAAATGACTGTACAAAAAGATTAGATGTATTATCACTTATCTGAAATACTTCCATACACTTTATCGCAATATATTTAGTTATGATATTATTCTCAGTGACTCACAGCCATTCTCATTTAACAGGCCATTGATGGAGAAGAGCCCAGGGGGGAAAAAAAAGCAAATTCACAGGATGGCCAGGGTTGTTATTTCATATGGAATAAGGTCAACATCTTGTTAATGGGCGGAGTATGCCTTCTTCATTTAAGACAAAACACTGATGCCTTGGGAAGATACTTGCTGTCATGAGGCATATTTGTTATTAGGTTATTCTGAAAGATGCCATGTCAGTCCATACTGAAAAAGAGAATGAACTGGAATAAAAGCATGCGGATCTTCCCCTAGTTCTCTAAACTAGATCATACTTCTCCATGCTAGAGAAAACCAGCTAGATTACACTCTGGCTGAAGCCTGAGGAGGCAGAGTTTACAAGACACAAGAGTGCTGGGGGCCAAATTAAGGGGTAGTAAAAAAGTAAAAGAGATAACCCTTAAAAGGGAGCTCTTGGAAGAGAGTTTTCTTTCATGGAGTTAGGGATGAAGGAGAACGCTTTATGAAGGTTTAAATGTACAGCTCTTACCTCTCTCAACCCTGCTCCACCGCACTACAAGAACATAAATTAATTAGACACGAAGCCAAAACCCCTAGTCCTCCTCCTGTGCACTGTTTAGGGACACTTACTAAAGTCTTCAGCAAAAGAACCATTTAAACATGAATCAATGTTTCAAATATGTTAGGTCTAGTGAAGGCCACTTCCCAGTGGTATTCAGAAAGGGGACAATATTTAATTCAAGGTGTGGTGGCTCTGCCAACCTCAAGAGCTCTAACCTAAAAGAATGAATTCCACAATCCTTCCTTCACAAGGATAAAAAGAGCACCCTTGACTTTGGAAGGATGATGGTGATGATGATTATTAAAATCAGTTTGCTTTGAGGTGCTCACTACAGTTTACCAAGCCCTGCTCTAAGCTCTTCACAATACTTTACAATGAAATATTCATATTTAATATTCACAAAAATTCTATGAGGTAGATCCTATTGTTAATACCATTTAAAAGATGAGGAAATTGAGGCAAGAAGTGGTTAAGTACTTGCTTAAGGTCACAAAGCTAGTCAGTGGTAGAGAATTTGAACACAGTCCATGAATCTCTAGAACTCCTGCTCTTGGTCCATGTGTTATACTGCCTCTTTTGCTGTTGTTGACAAAAGTCCACTACAGCCATGCTACATTTGAGAGGATCAAATGCAATATTGAGGCTGAACTAAAGTCATACCCCGAGAAAGAATGCAGTTCATACCTATATCTTTTCAAAGATGGCGAGGAATAGAATTATCTCTCTAAACAATTTACTTTCCTCTTAAAACAAAGCTTTGGTCTTAAGCCACCTTCTCTGCTAACATATAAAATGCAGAGAGAGATGCACCTATCAAAGGTGCTTTGATTTCAGATATATAAAACACAACTAGACACTAGTTTCACACGGGAGAAATGATAAAACAAGTATCTATTTTCTATGTAATTTAAAGTTAACTTGTATTCTTCTCAAAACATGCCCCAATATATTAGGTTGGTGTAAAAGTAATTGCAGTTTTGCCATTAAAAGTAATTATTTTGGAGGTTTTGTTTATTGTTGTTGGTGGGCTTTTCTCAACAACAACAATAAATTAAAACCTCCAAAACCATGACAATATAGAACATGTCCATAAAGATGAAAAGAACTAAAGAGCAGGTGTAAGAGACAGAATTCGAAGACTCATAGAGTTACAGCTACAAGAGACCTGAGTGAGACTTCAGAGGGTAAAGTCAAATGACTTTTCCAAGTTCCCAAGTCTGACTTGTGCAAAAATTCAAGGTTCCTGGCACCCAGCCCAGTTTTCATTCCAGTGTATCACACAGCCTCCCTGAAACACAAACCACTAGACATATGGCAAAGAAGCAAGCAAGGGAGCTATGCCACATGAATGGCCAGATTGTTGAGGAAAGAGGGGTGGGGGCTAGGAGTAAAGGCCTGAAGGATAATATGGTTTTACAGAAATCTATTTGCAAGTAGATACTGCGGTTACCAATGTGGCTGCCCAAGAGAAAGAACAACTGACTGACAGCAGGAACAAAGGCATGGACAGTCTCACAAAGAGAGACACAAGAGTCACAGTGCTTCGTGTATATCACGAATACACTTCATCAAGTTGAGACCAAGAATAACAGTGAGGAAAAGCCCACCATACACAAGGGCCCCTTTATTCTTGGGGCTTTGCTGTTTCACACACACTTTACCTGAGGAAACATTAGACCTTTTGCTTCCATTTCTGTGGGATCCTTTTGATTTTTCCACATTTAACTAGCACATTTCATGACTATTTAGTGTTCCTATTTTTTTGCAAATTAATGTTCTGTGTACGCTGATGACATATTCGGAAGTTAATGAAATCAGATGAAAATCGCTTAGATTAAAATTTCCCCATTTCTTCACTACCCTGTATGCCACCTACTGTTCAGCCACAAAATACCGCAGCTCATGCATCAACAAAACTTCATATTAATATTCTCTAAGGTGGAAAGACTCTATTAGCCATTTTTTTCCCTCCTGTCCTTTGCTTCCAACTGTGTTTAGCTTTGAAACCCTCTGACAAATGGCCATTATTCTCTGGGCTACTAAAAAATTTCTAAACTTTAGGGGAAATGTATTTGGTCCAAAGCCCAAGGGAATAGGCTTGTTGAATTAAATGATAAATATATGCATTTAAGGTCATTAGAGACTTTATCTCCTGTGAAGGCTATATTTGTCAGATTGATATAATTTCTCTCAACTGAGTACTTAACTCCATCGGCCAACATTATTACAATTATTCCTTTCCCTTTAAGTGGGAGACTTCTGGCTAACAACACGTGCGCTCTTTCTGGTGCTGCTTCTTGAGCGATCAAGGCACACCTTTGTTTCATTTAGTATGCAATTTTCACCTCTGACCCAAGAAATGAGTCCTGGGCTTCCTGAACTTTATTGCCTGTTAATAGACTGCTGGCTCTCTTTTCAGCAGTAATAGAAATGGTGGAGAGGCATTTCATTTAAGAGGCTGGCAGACTGCAGCCTGAAAGACAATGTCAGAATTAAAAGTCAGCCTGGCCGAAAAACTGTATAAAGACCACAGTGACATGAAAGAGGAAGTTTTCCATATTCCACCCCGAGACTGAACACGCAGTATATAAATAAGAACAGCATCCCGGATCTCATTATTTTCCCACCGCACAATGGCAGACACTCTGAATGGTGCTAAGTGATTGATCTAGTAATTCATCTTCAACTTACACCTATCTACATATTTTGTTTCTCCTCATTAAACTGGAGACATCAGTGACAAACTTATGAAGTGGTAGTCTTTGGCTTCATAAAATACACACAGATGCTCATCAGAGGCTCTTTCCTGCTTGCTTCTTAGTGACACATGTTTATAATTTTGTCTGTATTGCGTTTGCTGTGGTTTACTCTTAAGTACATCTGTTCAATTAAAATGGGAACGTGTGACATGGCCTGTACTCAGCAACTTTTGAGCTTGTTAATGAAATGTTCTAAGGTTCCTGCCTTAGCTCTTTATTTGCAAAAGGGTTTCATTCCACAGAGTTCCAATGATTGAAAAGTACAAATAAAAATACCCTTTAAAACACATAGAAAGAAGTCGACTGTTTTGTTAATAGTTAAGAAAGGACATTATTACTGCATAAGGACATTATTTTACATGAAAAGACATTATCAAAAATGATTTACTGCCTCATGTTTGGAAACTTACAGGAAAAGTCTGATAATATATTAAACTTGTTTATTACAGCTTCATATAATTTTAAATAATACTACTTTTTCCTTTGACAAGTGCAATAAACTCTACTGGTATAGACATAGGTTGATTATCACGAGTCAACTGTGTGCTTAAAGAAACATGCCCAAACAATCAGCTTTTGACGGCTGCATCTCCCGTTATTTACACTCACCATCATGGTAATAACTCACCATTTCTATATTAATAAGGCAGTGAAATTTATTATGATGGCATTGAAAAGTTATTAAGTACTGCATCCCAAGTGACAAAGTACCACAGCACTGTCACTATCCAAAAGCAGTTGCCCATTCATCACCTGCCTTTCCAGATGGTCCTGCATCTTTATCGCTCCCAGGTTGGTGACATCACCTGTTCACCCACTCAAAATTGATGATGAAAGCAAACAGATCTATCTTACTTACATTTACCAAATCAATTTAATTTTTACAGGCCATGGCTTGGTGACATATTGACTGTTTTCCTTAATGGCATCTACCGTATTTAATGCAAGGATGTCATCTTTGATTCCTGGCTTGCATAATGTGTCATTTCATAATAAATGTTTTCTAACATATTTACTTAATGGAAAGAATTATGATTGCTTGTCAGTTCTCTTATTAAACATAATGATAATTCTTTTTCTTCTTGAGTATCATCCATTGGGCAAGAAATCTATTTTTATCTCTCCTTGTCTCTTACAGGAGATAATGACTTGGATATAAAGTAAGCTCTAGGCAAGTGTTAGACATACCGCTGACCCTTCTCAATCCTGGGGCTCAGTGTAAGGGTTTTATCTTATTTATTTGTTACTATAGAAGAACTATAGTCTTAAGGGATGCTCTAATTAACACATCAGCAATAGCTAAAGACGGATATGAAATAGCATTGCAAAAGGATAACAGACGTAAAACTGATTTTAACAGTTCATATGATGTTTAATCTTTACTTCCCTGGGCTAGTATAGTCGCTTCTCTTCAGCTAGTGACTCTATATCGAGTGCATGTTAAAATACATATCTGTGTTGTAAAAGTTAAGATGCAGGTACAGAGACTAGTCTACTGACTATCCGATACTCACATGTGACACCTCCTTTCCCCAAGTATGATTTATAGATCCCATCTGCTGCTCTTTGGAACAAATGCTTCTCTGACCTGTGTCACCATGGCATTGTGGTACATTTCTATTACCTAAGGGAATTAGCAATTAGATTTACTTTTGGAGATGAAGGCAAAATGGCATCAAGCTTCTGTATTTCTATTTAATATCCATACTATATGGGTATGTTCTGGGGCAATATTCCTGACTCATTCCTCACCAGTGCTTATATTCAGAGAGGTGTGGGAGTCCAGAGGGAAAATCAGTATGTGGTCTCCCTGCCCTCTAAGCCCCCACCTGTGCAAGTAAATGTGTATGCAAGTAAAAACAACATCAAATAAACTCCAAGTGACACTCTAAAGAGAAAAATTGGGAAAGGGTCTGTGACAAAGGAAAACTGAGTAATCTAAGGTGTGTGTTTCTGTTTCTTTAGGTATTTATCTATCAAGCATCTATTTCTTTAGATATCATGACCTAGCCAAGAGAAGCCTTAGTAAGGTAATGGAGAGAGAGGACTGGAAAAGGTTAACCGGCTTCAGCTCTACACTGCTGACTTAGACTGACAGCAATTGCGTTCCTTCTCTTGCTCTCTGGTTCTCTCAAACAGTGTTACTGTAGCTAATCTCTCCCCACCCTTCATTAAGGCTAGATGAGGTCTGGAATGACCTTCAGATTTATCTTGCCCTATACTGAACTGGTTGGGTCCCAGGGTTGGTGACTTCCTGGGGAGATTCCAGGAAGATGGAAGAACTCCACACAGGATCACTCTCCATCTGTGCTCCTACTGTTTAGTCTCAATCACGTGAGCAGAAATTTATATGTCAACAACAGCACTCTAGGATGGCTTATATCCCTTTGGAAACCAGGTCCAGGATTTCCTACATCCCTATAATTGCAATAATACTACCTCAAACTAGGAAAAAAAAAACTTGAGTTCAAAGCCAGGTAACCTGCTCCTACCCGTACAGTACATTCACATAAGGAGACTCATACTCATCTGAAAAAATGCTTCATGTTCATCTGTGATTAGTTTATCCTAATTCATTAGTCAGAGTCTTTCCCTTAGGTGAGGCTTCCAGGAAAACAGGGATTCAGGCCAGTAGTGTTGCGAGACCAACAAGAAATACCTTTTTTTGAGGGCAGCTGGCCTCTGTGCCAGGGTGGAGATTCTATGCTGGCATCACACACCTGCTGAATTCTTACCACAAGAATCTAAACAACGAAAAAAGAAAAAACAAATCATGCACACCTGTGGCTGCCAACCAGTGAGGTTTCATTGCCATGCCATGCACACCTGGGAAGCCTGTGAGGTCAGCTGCAGTGTCAGAGGAAAACAACACTCTCAGCCAGTTGGTAGGAGGCACAAAGCATCCATCTCCCATGGGTCTGTGACATGAACTGACTGGCCAATAGCCATAGAAAGTACATACACACACATCTTCTATGAAAGGAAAACCCTAAGTGTAGGCATGGCAAGAATAAAAGAGATTTCAGAGCAGAGGCTAACTGTAATCATTATCTGCTGCGCACTGTGCCCCCAGGAAGAAGGAGTCTTCTTGCATCAACTCTTAGGTCCTCCTTTATTAGCCAAATCCAGTCGCTGGGTAACCCAGAGAATAGAAAAAGACTATATTGAATAAGTGTCTCTGTATGACTGAAAAAACAGAAATGCAGAGTGCTGGATTATGAGGAGAGTGAGAATTTTGAGAGGAGAGAGTCTGAAAGCAGCACCTGCTGGATGTGTGAGATACTGAAAGACTAAGAAAGTGAATTGCAGAAATATACAGGGATAGTGGATTTAAGTTTTGCATAACATTAGTCATGGAATTCCCCTGTGATGTTTCTAGAAAAGATGTGATTTGGTTTTTAATTTTTTTTTTGTGGGGGTAGGCAGAAGTTGATGGACCTTAAACAATTTTTTTTGTAGTTACTGCCAAGGTGTAACTATAAGGCACCCAGATTTATATGCTTACCTAAAGAAAGCATCAGGTATCAAATACAGTACTGGTCGATTCCAAAATGATAAATATTTAAAAGCAAGAAGGCATGTGTATTTGCCTGTGTGTGTCGTAGGGGATGGTATACAAGATTGTGCAGTGTGGGTTCTAGAAACATTGTTTCTGTATCAGGTGACATTCTATGGCTGACTTCCTAGGATTAGATTAAGAAGTATCAACAAATTATTTTCTGTATCTTCAGCAGCACTCTACTGGTGGAATAAAAGTCGGGTCTGAAAGCTGGTGGAATAAATGCTCAACAGTGTAAAGGGGCTGGATCTGCAAGTAGTCTATTGGCAGTGGGTGGCATGGCCAACAATAATACAATTAACTTTCAATTGTTCTTGAAGCTGATTGTCTGGTTCCTAGGCATGTATATTCCTCTGAGAAGATACCTGTGAGATCTCCTTAGGTCATGTGGACCCAGCTCACACTATGCTGTGGAGCACTTCAGTGAGATAAGCTATTTCTATGAAATGTTTGCTTTACCGTCCATCAGTGCAAGCATCTTTTTTAAACAAAGGTACTGTCAAATTTCTTGTGCTTTATGAACATCTTATATCGAATATCAACTTTAAAGACGTAGTTTTTGGTGTCTATTTGCACACGTCTCTTTATATTATTCCTTGTTCTAATGATAGTTGACCAATTCTTGCCCTTTGTGATTTTTTAGCTTGACAATTCTACTAATTAACATGCAGAAAATAATCTTAAAAAGCACACAATATTTTACCAATCTTCAGTTTCGGTTACATCATGAAAGACCAAAAGAGGTTCTAGGGCAAAAGTGAGCATAGTATTTATCTACTGAATTTGCCTATAGCTGAAATAATTCATTTTAAAAATCACTACCTTGGACAGAATTATGTATAAAGAGAAGCATTTTATCAAAATGATTGTATGATTCTATCAATGTAAATAAACTTTGAGATGTTAAGATACTACATTAATAAAAATTTTTATTTATCATTCAAATGGAAGAGTGTACAGTTCCCCTCCTACTCCCCATTTTTTCATGCTACCTACTTATCATTATTGGAACAAATTCTCTTCATGTTGCTACCTTCATTTGATGAAACAACTAGGGAGCAAAGAAGCTGAACCAACTCCTATCCTTCTAAGATAGATTTGAATTGGTTATTTCCTATTACTTCTCACTGCTTCTTAATTTATCCTCAAGGAAAAAGCATAGAGAATAGAATATTCTGATGCAGTGGTCTCAATTAAGTATTCTAGAATATTAAGCATCATAAAGAATCTCTGTCCCTATAATTGCCAAATCCTAGACAACTGTCAAAACTATTAAAAGAGGCTCTTTCCTGAATATTTTATTGTGAGTTTTACTATTGACTTAGTGGCCAAAGAGGGAAGCAATAATCATGCAAGTATGGGGGTTAATAATAAGAAAGAAACTCATGAGGGTTTGTTTTGGGATAAACAATTTATATGAGGTTTCCTAACCGGAAGACAAATCACCCAACATTCCTTTGAAAAACGATTGATTCACATTCAAATTCTGGTTGATCACCAAGGCAGACAGAGCAAAACAGAAGACTCCTCATACTTGAGGAAATTTTCTTAAATTTGGACATCAGACTTTTCCACTTCACCAACTTCACTTTGGAAGTACTAGAGGTTGCCCAAACAGCAGTAAGAGTAATAGACATGCTGGACTTCATTGACATCTTTCATAGAAGAAAGAATAAGGCAAGCAAGCCTCATGGTATGGACAGAGCATATGTGAATGTAGGAAAGGGGACAGCTGACCTTTCCATAAGAAAGAAGGTCCCTCTTGAGCCCAGGCCAAAACCAGAGACAGTCCATGGTGCTTCTGGAGGGTAAATGTCTATAAACTTGATTGCAGCCTTTTTTTTTTTTTTTTTTTTTTGAGACAGGGTCTTGCTTTGTTGCCCAGGCTGGAATGCATTAGGATGAATACGGCTCACTGCATCCTTGACCTCCTGGGTTCAAGCAATCTTCCTGCCTCAGTCTCCCAAGTAGCTGGGACTACACATATGTGTCACCATGCCAGCCTAATTTTTAATTTATTTTTTGTAAAAATGGGGTCTCACTATGTTGCCCAGGCTGGTCTCAAACTCCTGGGCTCAAATGATTCTCCCACCTCAGCCACCCAAAGTGCTGGAATTACAGGCATGAACCACCTCACCCAGCCTTCTTTTTTTATTTCATTATATTCTAAGAGAATCTGTAATATTTCCTTGGGCACTAATGACGTTCAAACTCAGGGTCCCATTAACTAATCTTCACTTCTCTTGGCATTTTCTCTGTTTTTAATTTCTCACAAGATAAAATTGAATATCCAAACTATATTTACTATTTTAAAAACAATATTGCAAAGCTTAATAAATACTTTGTAATGTAGGCTTTTATAGTAATACACATTTGTTATTATATTACATTTCTCTTTCTTAACTACACATCAAAGACAATCTTTTGGATAGCTGGTAGTCTTCCTCCTCATTTTAAAACCATTAAGACTTCACTTCTTAGTTATCTAGTGTTAAGAGTATGCAACACGTCAAGTGCACTTGCTTTCTCATAAATAAATTAAACTTTTTCCCTGAAATAAATGCCAAACCAGTCAAAATTCATTTTGTGCCCAAGCCAACCTAAAGGGTCCTAGGGGAGAAATACTGTTATTCAAAGACATCTAGTGCAACTGGCATAAAAACATACACATAGACTGATGGAACCGAATAGAAAGCCGAGAAACAAAGCCACACATATACAGCCAACTGATCTTCAAGAAGGGTGCCAACAACACACAATGGAGAAAGGGTAGTCTCTTCAATAAATGGTGCTGAGAAAACTGAATATCTAACGCCAAAAAATAAAATTTGACCCTTACTTATCGCACACCATACAAAAAACTCAACTCAAAATGGATTAAAGACTTAAACCTACAACCTGAAATCATAAAACTTACAGAGAAAAGTATAGGAGAAAGACTCCATGACATTGGTCTTGGCAATAATTTTTTTTAATATGACCCCAAAAGCATAGGCAATAAAAGCAAAAATAAACATGTGGGACTATATCTAACTAAAAATTTCTGCAAAGCAAAGGAAACAATCAACAAAAACAAAGAAAACCTATGGAATGGGAGAAAATATTTGCAAACCATATATCTGGTAAGGGGCCAATATCCAAAAATATATAAGGAACTCATGCAACTCAATAGCAAAAAACATTAATAATAAAATAACTCAATTTAAATATGGGAAAAAGGACCTGAATAGATGTTTTTTCAAAGAAGACATACAATAGCGATCAAGTATATGAAATGATACTGAATATCACTAGTCATCATGGAAACGCAAATCAAAAAACCACAATGAGATATCACCTCTCAGCTGTTAGAATGACTGTTATTGGCGAAGATGTGGAGAAAAGGGGCTCTTTATATACTGTTGGTAGGAATTTAAACTGGAATAGCCATTAGGGAATACAGTATAAACAGTCCTCAAAAAATTGAAAATACAACTCCTTTATGATCCAGCAATCACACTTCTGTGTATATTTCCAAAGTAAATAAAATCGCCATCTCAATGAGATGTCTGCACTCACATAGTCATTGACTGCAACATTATCAACAGTAGCCAAAATATAGAAACAACCTGAATGCGAAGGATGAATCATTTTAAAATGTGGTACATACACAATGGAATACTATTTAGCTTTTTAAAAAGAAGAAAACCCTGCCATTTGGGACAATGTGGACAAACCTGGAGGATATTATGCTAAGTGAAATAAGCCAAACACAAAAAGACAAATACTGCATGATTTCACTTATATGTGGAATCTAAAGTAAAAAATGATAGGAACAGAGAGTAGAATGGTTGTTCCCAAGAACTAGGAGGTAGGGGAAATGGGGAGATGTTGGTTAAAGGGTACAAACTGGCACTTGTAAGATGAATAAATTCTGGAGACCTAATATACAGCATTGTGTCTATAGTTAATAATAATGTATTGTATACATGAAATTTGCTAAGGGAGTAGATCTTAAGTATTTTCACTACACACACACACACACACACTCACACACACATAACTACATGAGGTGATGGGTATCTTAATTAGCTTGATTGTGGTAATCATTTTACAATGTATATGTATATCAAAACATCACGTTGTACACCTTGAATGTATACAATTATTATTTGCCAATTATACCTCAATAAAGCCAAAAAATAAAAAATAAAACAAACACAAAAAATCTGTTGCATATGTCTAAAATCTCAAATTATTTCATTCTTCTTCATTATCAAGCACACATTATTTGTCAGCCTCCTGATGCTGACCACCGTTGTTAGGTATCTTAGAAGTGCAATGTTGCTGTTGTTGCCATTTTAATGAATATTCCTGTCTTAGTTAACATAGATTGCCTGTTTCAATATGTAAGGTGTCACTGTAGAATCTAAAATCAAACTTAAAAGTGTGAGAACTATTTATTTTTAAAATGACACAAGGAAGCACATCTTCATTGTAATATCACATTTTAGGATTACATTGTTGGAACATAATGTATTGCCCAAGCATTGATTCAAAATTAGTTAATGAATTTCTGACTCCAGTGTAATCTGTTTCCACTATTCCTTTCCACCTATTTAACACAGCATAAGAGATATTCACTCTCTACTCATGTCATTATGTTCTATGTGTAAATGTATGTATGTTCGAAAGAAGAAAACTAAGTTCACAGCCAATATTTTAACTGATTAAACTAATTTGGAGCAATTCTGGCTGAGATGAACACAAAGCCGGGTCTGGCACATGACAGGTGCATCAACAACTGACTTATACTTGCAGAGTTTTGTAATGGCCAATGATAATAAAGATCAGCAAAGAAAATGTGCCACAAGGCAATATTTTAAAGAAGCAAACTTTTTACTTTTTTCAATGGCTTATCTCAGAGTATTACAAACTAAGCCACCTAAATTTTTCTTTCACGTAAACAAGAAGTTTGTGATCTCTCCTGAACCCTCGTTTTCATTGTTAGTTAGAAAACGGTCAGTGCTTCCATTTCAAACCAACCCAGAGTCAAATAATTAGACCATCCAGAGATAACTGAACTTCTAGGAAACAAGAAATTGGAAAAAGAGCAATAACTTATAAAAATCAATCGATAAAATATAATAATTGGCTTTTGCCCTAATAACCCTATGCTAGATCTGCATTTTAGCCAAGCTGCTTCTGCTGTTGTCTTGTTAACATTTATTGGGTTCTTCTGCCAGCTCTGTGCTAAGCTCCTGACACACAATGTCACATTTTACCCTTACAACAACTCTAATTGGTTAGATACAATTATTATTCCTACGTGACATGTAAATAAACTGAGGGGCAGATAATTAAAGTTTCCCAAATCACTCAAGCCCACAGGACCCCTGAGGAGGACTTGAGACCAGGAAGTCTCACTCCAGAAGAAGCCTGTTTCCCACTGCTCCGCATGCAGTTACAATGTTACTACATTGTGGGCACTTTTAGAAGGAAACATGAGAAAAACCTCATCCTGAACCAACAGAACTCTAAAAAGTTATTTCTACTCAGTAATTTTAATCAATCCGTAACTCTAAAGTTCATAACCTGAGAAAAAGCTTTCTATCACTAATTATTTTCAAGTCCTTTAGACAAGCACATTCCAAGTCTTTAAAGATCTTTTTGTTGGAGAGAAGTCACATGCATTGTGAGGTGGCAATTGCTGCCAAACTCTAATATTATTTTTAAAGTTTCTCTTGGTTGGATAAATACTGGTTTGAGAGAAAATCATACAAATGATGTTTCTGGTATCTATAGCTTATTTTTACCAGACCATATATTTTGGTCTATAAATTATATTTTCAAAAGTATCTTATTTCTCTAACATATAAACAAAGGATTTTCCAAAGTACCTTACTTGGGAAATATATTCAATTTTTTATTCTTAAATAAAGTTCAGAAAGATGGCCCCTATTTATAATGTTATCTTTGACCTTTCTCTTTTAAAAATTTTCTTTGAAGAGACTACCACATTTCTCTACTCAATTCTGATTATATAACGGCTAATGACGTGGGGCAGTTTTTTCTTAAGTTTTTATTTTTAATTTTTGTAGATACATAGTAGGCAAATATATTCATGAGATATTTTGATAGAAGCATGCAATGCATAATAATCACATCATGGAAAATGGGGTATCATGAGGCAGTTATTATTGACCCATTGACCAAATAAAAAGCAGGGACCATTCAATTGGAGTAGTTTCCCTAGAATCACACAGTTAGTGACAGAAGCAAGACTGGATTATACATGTCTGAATTCCAGGTTCTAGATTTGTCCATGGACTACTTCAGCTCTCATTCCTTGCCTCCTCTTTCAGAGTCACATAATCCTATATTCATCCATCCATTCTTTCATTTATCCATTCATTCACTCATTTATTTATTGAACAATTATTTGTTGAATGTCTGTGTTATAGACTGAATGTGTGTGTCCTCCTAAAATCCATATGTTGAAGCCCTAACCCCCATTAGGGCTATTTTTGGAAATAGGGCCATTAGGATGTAATTAAGGTTAAATAAGTTCACAAGAGAGGGTCACCAATCCAATAGGATTAGTGTCCTTATATTAATAAGGAGAGAGAGCAGAGAGCTTGTTCTCTCTCTCTCCCTCTCTCTCTCTCTCTCCACCTGCCCCAACCCTCTCTCTGCTTATGCACACCAAAGAAAGGCTATATGAGGATGAGATGAGAAGACAGCTGTCTGCAAGCATGGAGGAGAGCGCTCACCAGAAACCAAAGCAGCTGGAATTTTGATCTTGAACTTCTAGCCTCCAGAATTGTGTGAATATAAATTTCTATTGTTTAAGCCACCCAGTTTATGGTATTCTGTTACAGTAGCCCAAGCTGACTAATACAGTCTGCTTATTTCATTTAATGGCACTATTTTCAGAATAGTGCCACAGGGATTAAAAAAATATATGGAACACAATCAAAACATTGCACTAGGAGAATACACCTTTGCAAGCTCTCAAGAACTCTTGCTTTGTTAGGGAAGCTATGTAAATAATCTGGATACTACACAATGTTTTAGTGTTTTCAGCCCAAGAAGTTCACCCCAGAAGCCTGCTTTCTACTGCTCTGCGTGCAATTCTCACGTTGTCTCATAATGGCTATCTTTAGAAGAAAACATAAGATAACCCTCATCTTTAATAAGTGGATCCACCTTTCTTGGTGGGACAAAATTTAGGTAGTAATATATTGTAATTAGAAAGAACATAAGGCTGGGCATGGTGGCTCATACTTTTAATCCCAGCACTTTGGGGAGCCAAGGTAAGAGGATCACTTGAGGAAAGGAGTTTGAGACCAGCCTGGGCAACATAATGAGACCCCATCTCTACAAAAGATGTTTTTTTTAATTAGCGAGTCATGGTGGTACACATCTGTAGTCCTAGCTACTTGGAAGACTGAGGCTGGAAAATGGCTTTAGCTCAGCAGTGAGCTTTGATCATACCACCAAACTACTCCAGCCTGGGTGACATAGACAAAGGGAGACCCTGTCTCTAAAGAAAAGAAGAGGAAGAAAGAAAGGTCATAGATGATATTATGGAAGAAGCAAACTTGAGGAATGAATAGAAACTTGCTAAGGATGGGGAGGAAAACAGTTTCCCAGGTAGAAAGAACAGTGTGTATACAGCTAAAGCAGTGTTTAGAGGGAAATTTGTAACACTAAATGCCCGCAGAAGAAAGTGGGAAAGATCTAAAATCAACACCTTAACATCACAATTAAAAGAACTAGAGAAGCAAGAGCAAACAAATTCAAAAGCTAGCAGAAGACAAGAAATAATCTAAGATCAGAGCACAACTGAAGAAGATAGAAATATGAAAAATCCTTCAAAAAAAAATCAATGAATCCAGGAGCTGTTTTTTAAAAAAAAAATTGACAAAATAGATAGACCACTAGCCAGACTAACCAAGAAGAGAAGAGAGAAGAATCAAGTAGACACAATAAAAAATGATAAAGGGCATATCACCACTAATCCCACAGAAATACAAACTACCATCAGAGATACTATAAACACCTCCATGCAAATAAACTAGAAAATCTACAAGAAATGGATAAATTCCTGGACAAATACACCCTCCAAAGGCTAAACCAGGAAGAAGTCAAATCCCTGAATACACCAATAACAAGTTCTGAAATTGAGGCAGTAATTAATAGTCTACCAACCAAAAAAAGCCCAGGACCAGACAGATTCACAGGTGAATTCTACCAGAGGTACAAAGAGGAGCTCGTACCATTACTTACAAAATTATTCCAAACAATGGAAAAAGTGGAACTCCTCCCTAACTCATTTTATGAGGCCAGCATCATCCTGATACCAAAACCTGGCAGAGACACAACAAAAAAAGAAAATTTCAGGCCAATATCCCTGATGAATGTTGATGCGAAAATCCTCAATAAAATACCGGCAAATTGAATCCAGCAGCACATCAGAAAGCTTATCCACTACGATCAAGTCGGCTTCATCCCTGGGATGCAAGGCTGGATCAACATACACAAATCAATAAACATAATCCATCACATAAACAGAACCATGAAAAAAAACACAGGATTATCTCAATAGATGCAAAAAAGGCCTTGGATAAAATTCAACAGCCCTTCACGCTAAAAACTCTCAATAAACTAGGTATTGATGGAACGTATCTCAAAATAATAAGAGCTATTTATGATACACCCACAGCCAATATCATACTGAATGGGCAAAAGCTGGAAGCATTCCCTTTGAAAACTGGCACAAGACAAGGATGCCCTCTCTCACCACTCCTATTCAACATAGTATTAGAAGTTCTAGCCAGGGCAATCAGGCAAGAGAAAGAAATAAAGAGTATTCAAATAAGAAGAGAGGAAGTTGAATGGTCTCTGTTTGCAGATAACATGATTGTATATTTAGAAAATTCCATCGTCTAAGCCCAAAAACTCCTTAAGGTGAAAAGCAACTTCAGCAAAGTCTCAGGATACAACATCAATGTGCAAAAATCACAAGCATTCCTATACACCAATAATAGACAAACAGAGAGCCAAATCATGAGTGGACTCCCATTTACAATTGCTACAAAGAGAATAAAATACCTAGAAATACTACTTAAAAGGGAAGTGAAGGACCTCTTCAAGGAGAACTACAAACCACTGCTCAAGAAAATAAGAGAGGACACAAAAAATGGAAAAAAATTCCATGCTAATGGATAGGAAGAATCAATATCATGAAATTGGCCATACTGCTCAAAGTAATTTATAGATTCAATGTTATCCCATCCAGCTACCATTGACTTTCTTCACAGAATTAGAAAAAACTACTTTAAATTTCATGTGGAACCAAAAAGAGCCCATATAGCCAAGACAATGCTAAGCAAAAAGAACAAAGCTGGAGGTGTCACGCTGCCTGACTTCAAACTATACTATAAGGCTACAGTAACCAAAACAGCATGGTACTGGTGCCAAAACGGATAAAGTAGACCAATAGAACAGAACAGACACCTCAGAAATAACACCACACATCTACAACCATCTGATCTTTGACAAACCTGATAAAAACAAGAAATGGGGAAAGGATTCCCTATTTAATAAACGGTGTTGGGAAAACTGGCAAGCCATATGCAGAAAACTGAAACTGGACCTCTTCCTTATACCCTATACAAAAATTAACTCAAGATGGATTAAGATTTACATGTAAGACCTAAAACCATAAAAACTCTAGAAGAAAACCTAGGCAATACCATCCAGGACATAGGCATGGGCAAAGACTTCATGACTAAAGCACCAAAAGCAATGGCAACAAAAGCCAAAATTGACAAATGGGATCTAATTAAAGAGCTTCTGCACAGCAAAAGAAACTATCATTAGAGTGAACAGTCAACCTACAGAATGGGAGAATATTTTTGCAATCTATCCATCTGACAAAGGGTAATGTCCCAAATCTAGACGGAACTTAAACAAATTTACAAATAAAAAACAAACAACCCCATCAAAAAGTGGGCAAAGGATATGAATAGACACTTTTCAAAAGAAGACATTTATGTGGCCAACAAACATATGCAAAAAAGCTCATAATCACTGGTCATTAGAGAAATGCAAATCGAAACCACAATGAGATACCATCTCACACCAGTTAGAGTGGCGATCATTAAAAAGTCAGGAAACAACAGATGCTGGAGAGGATGTGGACAAATAGGAATGATTTTACACTGTTGGTGGGAGTATAAATTAGTTCGACCATTGTGGAAGACGGTGTGGCGATTCCTCAAGTATCTAGAACCAGAAATACCATTTCACCCAGCAATCCCATTACTGAGTATATACCCAAAGGATTATAAATCATTCTGCTATAAAGACACATGCACATGTATGTTTATTGCAGCACTATTCACAATAGCAAACACTTGGAACCAACCCAAATGCCCATCAATGATAGACTGGATAAAGAAAATGTGGTACATATACACCATGGAACACTATGCAGCCATAAAAAAGAATGAGTTCATGTCCTTTGCAGGGACATGGATGAAGCTGAAAACCATCATTCTCAGCAAGCCAACACAGAAACAGAAAAACAAACAGCGCATGTTCTCATTCATAAGTGGGAGTTGAACAATGAGAACACATGGACAGAGAGAGGGGAGCATCACACACCAGAGCCTGTCAGGGGGTGGGGGGCTAGGGGAGGGATAACATTATGAGAAATACCTAATGTAGATGACGGGTTGATGGGTGCAGCAAACCACCATGGCACGTGTATATCTATGTAACAAACCTGCATGTTCTGCACATGTATCCTAGAACTTAAAGTATAAGACCAAAAAAGAAAGAAAAAGGAAGGAAAGAAGGAAGGAAGAAGGAAGGAAGCAAGGAAGGAAGACAAGAAAGAAAGAAAGAAAGAAAGAAAGAAAGAAAGAAAGAAAGAAAGAAAGAAAGAAAGAAAGAAGGAAAGCAAGCAAGCAAGCAAGCAAGAAAGAGAGAGAGAAAGAAAGAAAGAAAGAAAGAAAGAAAAGAAAGAAAGAAAGAAAGAAAGAAAGAAAGAAAGAAAGAAAGAAAGAAAGAAAGAAAGAAAGAAAGAAAGTAAGTAAGTAAGTTTGGGGACTTAATACAATATGGAAACCATCAATTAGACATGGTTGATATGGGAGAGAAATGTGTCAAAATGACACATTTTTTTGGACTGAACAACTAGATAGATGGCAATGGAATTTATTAAAACAGGAAATGTATAAGAAGGGGAGCTTTGCAGGAAGAAAAGAGCAAGGGCCCTACTAGAGACAGCAATGATTTGTTCAGTTATGATAGGCTGAGTTTCCATTAGGGGAACATTTAATGCAGAATCTGATGCATAGTAGTCCCTCAATAATTGTTTGCTGAACATGGATTTTCTCTGTATTTATTTGGGAGGAGGCCTAAGAGGTTTTTTTTTCTCCTTCATCATTTTTTTCAAAAATGAAGGCATATCAAAAAGAGAGGTCACACTAGTTAATCACAATTATCTCTAACTAAATAGGAGGAAAACCAGCTAGAGTTGAGAAAAAGATGACATGGGGACAAATAAAAGTCATCCGGCAGGGGTTGGGTGAGATGCCTTTGAGAAAGTGCCCTTGCTAATCATGATTGGGTTTTGTATTAACTAGGTAAGATTAAAAGAGAAAAAAAAAAAACCCTAAGAAGAATCAAGAGCTCAACTGCTCCTCTGTGGAAAACAAGTTTGCCAAAATTACAAAAAGTCATTTCTTTGGTTTTTTTATAATACCTAAAGAGCAGACAAGCCACATTCTCAAAAGGAAGGGTAATCGTTAAAATGATGGGAAAAGCTACTGAATTGGCCATCAACTGAATTCTTGAAGGAGAAAGAGGAGAAAGGGAATATGTGATTTTCGGCCAAAAAGTCAGGAACTATTTTATAAAGGTGTCTTGAATTCCAAGCAATAAAAACAACTCAGTTTTGACATAATGAAAAAAATCATTTTACATTTCTCAAGGTAAATATTTGCCAGTGTATATGTGGAAGACATTTCACTCCAAGGAGAAAAAAATAATTATTTTTGAATTTCCTCCAAATGCAGAATTTTCCCCAGGTTCATCCACCAATCCATAGGTATTATGTTTAAAACGGCACAGTCCTGCATTTACCAAGCCTGTAATTGAAAAGTGATTTCATTATTAAGCTGTGGTTTATTCCAAGCCTTCTGGATAATCTTGATGAGTATTGCACTTGTTGCTTAACTGTGGAGATTTTGTAATAAAAGTTTAATGAGTTACTTATTATTAGAATGTTTATAGCCATTATTTTAAGGTGAACAATAATGACGTAAAGTTCGTACGCATTTGGTTTAAAACGTATTCAACTCACATATCAGTTAATGCTACAGTGATTTTTAAAAACTCTCTTATCAGTACACGTGTCTAAAGGCAATGCAGCTAAACCTCAGCTTTACTGGGGCTATGGTTAAGAATGAAACTAAGGAAGGATTTCCCACTTGAATCATGTCAAAGCCGGATTCTGGCATTTCAGAATTTGAACAAGAATTGCTTTTATTATGGCATTTTGAACAGATTTCACAAGAGGATACATATAAAGCAAGAGGACAAAAAGTTGAAATTAAGTCCTGAAGGCACTGAATATTCATTTCTATTTAAAAGCTAACCAGATATTCTATTAATGATCATAAATATTAAGGAAACATACCGAAATAAATCCAGTTTATCTGATTTCTGTCTACTGAAATGCTATGAAACCAAAGGTCAATCACATCTCTAAAAAATATCTTACCCCTGCAGAAACTGTCTACAAGTTTTTCAGATAGAAACAAGATTTTCCAGAAATTATGATGTAATGATTCAAGCACAAAAGTTTTCAAGTTACAGAAATAAATGGAAAGTATATATATCTACTGAATCTGTATAAAACTTACACTCAGAAGAATAACATAGTTACCTGTCTTTATTGAAATAAATTTAATTTAGATTCTTTAATCAGACTATAACTTCTAATTCTTAGATGTTGCCAAATGGATTTTATGAAAAATATGACTGAAACGAGTGACTAATTTTCACAACCATTTTGTGCGTCTGTTTTGATGCACAAATTACTCATTAAATCATTTGAATATAAAGAACCATAACCTAATTCAGTGATGAGTACAGTGCTGACATTCTGGAAGCATGTATAATTAAAGCAGGGTTATCAAAAGAGAGGCAAAATATATTAGAAAAACATAGCACAAAATGAAAATAAAACCAAATTAACTCATAGTCACAAAATAGAGAAAACAAATGTTTTCCTCCAATCCTCCAACTCCCCACCCCAAAAAAGATAAAATGCAATAAACATGTCATATGATTATGCTTGTTTGCTAATGCCACATGCTACACATGGTCATAGCCAATGTTTCCAAACGTTAACTATAAAATCATATCTTCTTCCTTTAGTATTTTTTCAAATCAGTACAATTCTTTAACCATATATTAGGTTGGGTTCCCTCCTATCACGCTATACCTTTAATCAATACATTGTTTGTATTAAGAAGTGAGATTGTAAAGGAAGTTTATTCTTAAAAACCTGTTGAAAACATATTGTAACAAATATAATTTGCTTATTTTGTGGATGCTTAAACAATCTCTTCTTTACACAGCTGCAATATATAAATGTGTTAACTCAAAATACATTCTTACCTCCCATCCATAACTGGGGTCTTTCAGGTTTGACCTCTGCTCTCCCACATAAGGCCCAAACTTTTCACCTACTTCGATCTTCCTTTTGGTCCATATTCCTAGTCCTGCCCCAGGCATATTTGACTCTCGAAGTTCAAACTCAGCAGGAATGGGGATATCATCAGGGATGTAGATGGGGGCTTTGTAAGGAGAACCCTCCTTTGGAGTGAATGCTTCACTGGATGTGGCAGGAGAGCATGGCTCTTGAATATTGAGGGAGGGAGTGCTGGCTACTCCATCTGCATCTGGCATTTCTTCCAAAGGTATTTCAGGGTAGTTGCCATATACACACTCATTATCTGTGAATAAATAAGAACTTCATGAATTCCTTCTGATATTGAAGAGACAAAATTCCACAGGGGTAGCCACCTTATTATGTTGTTCTTTGAAGGATAAACAGGAAAGACCATTGTTACGATGTGCCTTCATTAAAATCTTTATTATTTACAGGCCAGGGAGAGGCTAGAGATTATGGCCTCTGTGGTTTATCTGTGGTGAATCCATAAATCAAATGAGCTAATCCTCAATTGTCAATACTTGCATGGGCTAGTTCAATTCATTATCCATCTGGGAAACAATCAGCAACTTCATTATTGGTCTGACTAAAGTACAGACAAGAAGTTAAACATGTGTGTAACTACAACCCCCAAACAATTCCAAATTGGGAGCTGACAGGATTCTAAAATATATTAGAAAGTTTTGTCATGCAATGTTATCTTGGAATAAACATAGGAGAGTCATCAAAGATTCCAAAGGCTGCCATGTGCCACAAGGCTTAAATGTGTGTGGCAGGATTATTTATTGGAATATTAGTGTTTTTTCTTTCTCTATATTTCCTTTCCAATTTTGAACATGTCACCAAGCCCTTGGTATTTCCTTGCCTCAGTAACTTATGCAGAGAAGAAAGTTAAAGTTACCTGAAGCCAGTGATGCCTCTGGGTATTCGTAAACGCTAAAATCGTTAAAGAAATTGGGTAAATTTTCCAGCGGGGAAAGGGAGAGGAAGGGTCCCTTGAGATGCACCAAAAAGACAGAGAATTTCCTCCAGACAGAGAAATGAGGGAGATCAGAAACGCTTTGTATGGGGCACTGCTCATCTTTACGGAGCAGCACCTGGGGAGGTGGCAAGACCTTTGAACAGACAGCAGGGTTGGATAGCTAGGAGTTACGACACTGAGCACGGAGGACCTGAGGACCCCCAAGGCAGCACGGCGCCACACTTGAAGTAAACGAGTGGACCGTGGGAGACCTTAAGACCTCTATGAAACTTGTATGGGGATTTTATGAAACCAATCAAAGGGGATTTCAGTTGTCTTAGAGCAAATGAATACATTTCTTGTCTGCTAGGATCACAAATTGAAAGTCATACCTGATTTGTTTGATTCATAGAACTTCAAGGAAGGAACTAAGAAAAACAGATGAAAATTACGAAGAAACAGACTTCGATCGAGCTAGTCAAAGGTTAATTATTTGAAAAATTAGCTGAGTGTGGTGGTATGCGCCTGTAGTCCCAGCCACTTGAGAGGCTGAGGTGGGAGGATTGCTTGAACTTGAGAAGGCTACAATGAGCTATGATTGTGTCACTGCTGCACACCAGCCTGGCAAGAGACTGAAAGCCCATCTCAAAAAAAAAAAAAAATAAAAAAAATAAAAAAAGAAGGTAAAATGGGTTGCCTCCAGCTCCATGATCAGTGTTCTACTATAGCCTGGATAACCACGAGTTAAGGATGATGCATCATCCCTAACTCGTGCATCAAGTTGCTGATTAAACTAGGTGACTTTAAGACCCTACCAACCCCGCAGTTCTATCAATTAAAGTCTTCTAAGAGAGTTTATTGGGCTAGAAGATAGAAGACCTTCATTATTCAGATTTATTATTGTAACAGACTATAACACTCATCATCAATTGCCCATCAAGTAATGACTCCTGTCTCTTAAAGTTTTGTGAAGTGTAAAGTGATAGCACATGCAAAAGTATTGTTTAATGAGGTGCTTGGTTCTTGGTTCAAACACTGAGATAATGCCATTTAAACCAAGCATATAACTGAATTCCAGAACCCAACCTTATACCTATGGGACATAGGTTCTCAACATACAAGCTCATTATCATTCAAGTTCAGCATGTCCAAAATATTGTACCTTATCATCTGCCCTCAAATTGATTCTCTTGTTCACTTTCCTCTTTCTACTATGAATACCATCTCTCCCTTAATTATCCATGTCTGAGGCTTTAAAATAACATAGCCATTTTCTCTCCTTTGTCTTCCAAACTGTTCAGTCACTAAATGCTATTTGTTCTTCTTGCAAGATTCTAACCTTCATCCAATTCTTTCAAATCCACATTTTCACACCTAAATATTTTCATAGTCCTTTAAATGGGTCTCAACCTCCAGCTTCTTTCCACTATCCATCAACACTGAGCCTGTTTAACACTGCTGAGTTTACCTTCCTGGCAGACCAATTTTCCTGTTTGACAGCCTTCAATAATCTCCAGTGTCTGCAGGTAAAGTATAAACCTCTTAGGTTTGGACTAAAATCTCTGTGGTTTTGAAACCATTCTTCCTTTCCATCTGATTCTCAATGCTCCTCAAAGGGAACCCCCAAGTTAGAGTAAACTTACTACTCTCCTCTGAGCTCAGTGAGTATTTCTTCTTCAGTTCTTCCTGCCTGGCACTCCTCTCTCTGCACCTCTGCCCGACAAACTTCTAGTCTTCCTCCTGAGTCAAATTCCAGCTGGTCCTATCACCGTCCCATTTAACACTAGTATTCTCTTCCTTGAATTATTACACAATTTTATCCCTCAGTTTGGCAATCATATACCATGCATTGCTGCTTATGGTTTAATGTGTATGATTGTTTCATTCCCAAGTAGGAAATAGGTCCCTGATGGGAGACGCTAGGACTCTTACTTTTTCAGAATTGTCCAAGTGATCTGCATATAGGTGTTTAACAAACACTTGTTAAATATATAATTAATCTAACATATAATTTTATTAAACTATGAATCCAAATCAATACTTTTTTTTACCAAATATAGGAAACTTTTGATCCTACAAAGCACCTTTAAACCTGTAGAAATAGAACATGATGAATTGTCCACTTTTCTCCAAACCCAACATCAAAGGAAACAATTTTAATAATTCTCCAAAGAAATATTATCAGAGAAGTATACTTTAAGGTCCAAACATACTCAACAAAATCCATCTAATTTTATCGTTCAGGGAGATTTTGCAATTCAACCTAACATTTAAAAGCTCATTAATGGTCTTAGCACAGGTAAAAACCTATAAAAACATCTCTTTAGAACTGTAACATTCAACTACTGCAAATGCAAAGTTATTTTACACATTCTTAAAGCGATTTCTCCCCCATTGTTAGAATTCTGTTTTTCTTGAGAAATATAAATTGTAAAACATTGTGTACTCTATAAATGTGTCCATGTAAGCGGGAGGAAACCAAAAGGCACCAAAATAAATAGAACAATATTCCTCCCGTAATTATCTATTAAAGATCAGTAAAATTTCCCCTACTTCCTCAAAGTGTCAAATCAGTCATACTTTCAGTTTCATGAAAGTGATCTTTAAAAAAGGATAGAGGCCGGGTGTGGTGGCTCCAGCCTGTAACCCTAGCACTTTGGGAGGCTGAGGCAGGTGGATTGCCTGAGCTCAAGCGTTCGAGACCAGCCTGGGCAACATGACGAAACCCCATCTCTACTAAAAATACAAAAAATTAGCCGGGCATAGTGGTGCATGCCTGTAGTCCCAGCCATTCTGGAGGCTGAGGCACAAGAATTGCTTGAGCCCGGGAGACAGAGGTTGCAGTGAGCCGAGATCACACTATTGCACTCCAGCCTGGGCAACAGAGTAAGACCCTGTCTCAAAAAAAAAAAAAAAAAAAAGCATAGAGACAAGCCCATCTGTGCCCTCCCACTGGCATAGCTTATCCCATGACCTCTGAATTACCCACAAACTCTCCCAATGCATAATCTAAGCGAGTGCATTTAGATTTCAGTTCCTGTGGAGACAAAATACATGTGTGTGCCCAGGCAGCTGCACAGAAGAATTTGAATTTAAAGCCTGAATGCAATTCTGCTTACAATGACAAAAATGTACAATTAAACCTAAAGAACAACTTACATAGGTCAAGCAAATCCACAAGAAGAACTCACGGACCTATTCATCCATATGCAAGCACTAAATATATATGCAAGTGCAGGCAATTTGTTTTGAAGCCACTTTTAATCTAGTATCATCCAAATTAAATGTAAAAAAGGCTGTGATGACAAAAGCGAAAATATTAAACTGCTGAGTTTTACGTATCAAAACATGCAACAATATTTCAATGTAATCTAGCATTATGAAATTTTCAACAGCAAATGCAGTTTATCACACCACATTGAATATTTGCATAAACCAAAATAAAATAATGCCTCCATATACATTACTCAAAAACTATCCAAAAAGCTGCTAAAACATTTCATCTAAATGATAAATTACTTCAATTATCATATCCCCATTAAATCTCTGTTATTGGGGAAAATTGGTAGATCCTTTCCCTCAGCTATAACTATAGTTAATTAAAGCATTTCTCAGATATCACACTGACAGATTGGGCACGTTTACAATAGGTAAGTATCAGGTAAGAAGTGCCATATATATCAGTGGTCCCATAAAGATAAATAACACTTGTAACTTCTTGGAGCTGAGCTGTCTGCTACTGTAATTTGCTTCATGCATCCTTTAGGCATGTCATTAACTGAGTGAGGAAAGAAAGACAAGCATATTGTTGGATTTGAGACAAATGATTTGGGAAATTGCTCTTGGAAGTCAACCTCTTCAATTCAAATTTTAAGTGTTCTAATTTCCTCAGAGACCAAGGGAAAGGCCACATTTTGATTAGATTATATTTATTTATATGTGTCTTTGAATAACTACCATAGGTTTCCACTTCAGAAGTATTCCATTTTGGAAACATATCAGAACCTTCAAAGAGAAGAAATTGCAGAAATAATACCAATAATAGTAACTTCCATAGATGTATCCACATTTTCTCATTTTAATGCTCAAAACAATCCATTGAGAAAATGATGATAAGAATAATCTTCCATTTTCCAGATGTAGGACCTGATATTCAATATATCCAAAGTCAGCTGAGACTAGCTGGGTGTCCAAACCCAGTCCTCCCTTTAACTCTTAGGCAACTTGTTTTTCGATCCTTAAAGATATGTTTTAAAGTTTGTTTGTTTTATCAAAATCGTAGCCATAATGTGTGAATACTTTGGCTTTTGACTTTTTCATTGGATTATAGTTTATTATAAACCCTTCCTTATGTGTATTTTACTATTTTCTAAAACTACATTTAATTGCTTTATAATATTCCATTATAGGAATCCACAACAGCTGAACTACTTCCATGGATTTTATTTATGTTGCTTCTAATTTTCTGATATCATAAATATCATGAAAATGAGCCTTCCTTAACATAAATTTTTATTGTCATCCATTTCAATTTCCTTAGGTTAGATTCCTATAAGAAAACTTAGTGGGTATTGACAGATTGCTTTTCAGAAAGTGTATAGCAATTTACACTTCTACCAATTATACTGGCATTTATTATTATGTCTTGTTTTTAATAAAGAAAATTATATATCTATTACTGCTTAATTCACATCTCAGTTGATTACAGAAACTAAATATTCTTATTTGTCATTCAAACTTCTTTATTTGCAAATTGTTCATTGTTTTTGCCCACTTTTAATTAGGCTTTCATGTCTGTCTTATTAATGATAAATAAATTAGCCCTTGGATATTGTATTTTAAAATTTCCTAGTAGACAATTTGCCATTTGGTATTTCGATTTTTTTTAACTTTTATGGAACTAAGTCTATATGTCTTTTGTGATTTTTACATTTTTCTTACAAAGTCCTTACCTACAGAAGGGAAAAAAAGATTCCCTTGAATTTTCTTTGAGTTTCATAGTTGCTTTTCTACCAACCTTGGATTACCAATGAGTGATTTACTGCTGAGTGAAAAGCAGAAAAAAAAATGATTTCATTTATTTGAGCGCCTGTGAACGGCAGGCTAGAAAAAAATGCCATTTCACTCGTAATTCTTCGGTTCTTATTTGCAAGGCTGGCCTAAATGCCTTCTCTTTTTGTGGGTTTTATATAACTCACCATTTGTTTCTTTTGGCCTTTCCGCCTAGTTTAACTGCAAATCTGGTCAGATGCCATTCAAAATCCTGAGTTTCACCATTAATGCCCATCATAATACTTATCACTCAGCATTATCATTAGTGATAGTAACATGAATAATTTTTCTCTCTACTCTTCACATTAGTTCATTGATAGAAAATATTCAGCAACTAAAAAGTTTAATATTAAGAGCATATATACATACTTTGACTATAAAGTAAGACTGATTTCTGTAGTTATTAAGAAGTTAATTATTTATACTCAACTGTACACATATATGCATATAATACACACATCCATGTGTATTTGCAATCTGTGTGTAGGGGTGTGTGTGTGTAATAGCTCCCTAATCTTAAAAATAGGCTGAGACAGAAACATGATTTGAGATCCCAGGCAGACTGGTTGAGATCATAACTACATGAAACAACTGCCAAGAGGAGCTCAACTAGGGAATTGAACAGATTAGGTAACTCAGAAATTTAGACATTTCCCCCCATTATGTTCCTCATTGCAGTTTTGTAATAAAAACATGAGCAAACTTCAAAGGAAGCTCTGTAGTAAAGGTTAATTGCTACTAAAGAAGAGGGTGGGCCCAAGCGCCAGTACTTTGTGCCCAACTTGCAAGCAGACAGGAAGGATTACACGTGGCTGAGAGCGGAGGATGTGTGCCCTGCTCTAGGAGGAGAACAGCTCGGCCAAACCTCAAAGCCCCACTAGGGACCTCCTGGTAGGACGTGAGCACATGAGCACAAGTCCATGAGCTGATGCCTGCTAACAGTGCGGCAGGGAAGGGAGGGGGAAGACATCAATTTCCTTACAAAATTAAAACTGGACATGCTCTTCTTCCCTTGTTAGGACAATTCCAGAGCAGTTACAGAGGCTTGTTTGTGAGAAAGCAGAGGACTTCGGGAGCCAGCTCTTCTGCACCAGTAACACAGTGAATAAACACGTGCTGGGCTTGGGGAAAAGGGTGGAGCTCAACTAATGCCAGATGCACAAACAGAACAAAGAAGGAGGCTATGAACTGGCCAGCAAAATCTTCTATGAGAATGGCCCCAAGATAATGAAATTTAAGATCCCAAAGAAACGAAGAAAGGAAACTAGTAAAAGTAGGGAAAATGAATTTCCAGAAAACTGACTTAAACAAGCTGTGAAGGACTGTAGCAAGGGTGCAGAATTACAGGCTTAGAAAACAGAGACATTGAATAGAATGGGAACTGCTGATGGGCATAGTCTTTAGCATGTCCTGCTCCAGAGGGGAGTGAGAAGAAAAGAGACTTAAATGGAGTGTTTGGACACTGGACTGAATCTGTAGAACCCGTGTCTCTAGATACGACCATTATGTTTGGAAATAATCTATCAACATGGCTTGGCACTAGAATTTTTTTAATGACCCTCTAAGCTTCCTTGCACTTTTAGTATTTGCTACTTCATAGTACCATGCTATTCCATGTCTTCCTTATGGAACTTTTCCCCAGTGTTTCCTAAAAATATTTCATATACGAGTTGTCAAAAAGACTCAGAATGGAAGTATTGGGGGCAAGATAGCAAGGGAGATGGCAAAGAATGTGATACGGATGGAAAATAAGGGACTAAATCAATGAGCAAACTTTTATTTTTCTCCTGGTATTGCGGCATACTGTTGCATGTCCTGTGGCTTTTAAATCTGGTTAAGAGATTTTCCACTCCTCTAGGAATTTCACAGACATTTCACTAAATAAATATGATTTGGGAATTAAACTAGTACTCCTAAGCTATTAAAAAATGGGCTTCGCCTCTTCCAAAACTTTCTCTTCAGAGATGGAACTAAGCTTTTGTCAAAAGGTAATGGAAAGAAATTGCTAGAAAATTCATACTTGAGGTACCAGTAAAGCCATTTGGTATCTAGTTACTGAATCTAAAAGAGCTAACGCAAAGACATTAAAGTTCTGTGAGTACTATTCCAAAGGAAAACATGAGCTGGTTAATGTTTGGCTTATTCTGTTGTTAAGGAGCCACCGTCACCAATATCCACTGGAATGACCAGGTAAGAACAGACTTATCACATATCAGATAGATAGTTTTTCTTTTATGTTTTAGCTATGTGCCTCTACTTTCTTTTGCCAGTACAAATTTTTGAGAGACTTTTAGCAACCTCTGATGGACCTGATGGGCTTTTTCTTCATAAGCTTTCTATGTCCCCAAAGTGATTTTCCTTCAGATTCATTTAGAGGAAAGTAGAACCGTCCTGAATTCATGCTGCAGCAGACTGGGTGGTTACTCCTCAGGCAATCTGAAATGACCAGAGTACAGCCTTTCAGTATTCCAGCCATATCTACAGTAATTATTTGCCAGCATATCTAAAAGAAGGCAGGCATTTCCTGTTGCACACAAATGGGACATTCTTATCTAAATTACTGTTTAAACAGGTATTTAAGAAAAGACTATCACAGTCAGGAATTTACTGATGACGGAACACATTAGTTTAGGGCTGGACACATTAGTTGAGGACTAACCATTGTCAAGAAAGGAAGTATATCAGCATCAGGAAGGTATAGAGAATATTTTACAACTCCCATATGGGTCAAGATGGAGGATTGTAAACTATGCCATTTGCATTTGGAGAAAGCAGGAGGGTCACAAGTCCTGGCATGGAGTTGTGCTTGCGTCAATATGTTGCTGAACCCTGGAGTAACCTTGAGAGGCAGAGGCTGAGAGTCATAGCTGCTTGGGGTCTCTGTTTCCCTATCCATAAAATAAGCATGTTGGACAAGTTCATCCCCAGGTCCATTCCACTCAAGCAATCCCAGTTCTACATAGTAGAAACCAGAAGGTGGTCAAAATTTGGTGTGCCAAAAGCTTATAAAATGTATTTCCTGGAAAGACACTCTGAGAATTGGTTTGGTCTCTCCCAACATGTAACCTAGGAGAGACTGTGCTCTAGCTGCCTAACCTTGCTCTAACCAGTGAAACTGGAATTTATTCCCAGTAGAGGCTTATAAAACTGGGCTGTTATTCTCACATTAAGTAGACTGCCCTCTGGTGAGGACTGTGGTTTATGTGTGGGCAGAAGGTGTGGTTTACTACCTCTAATTTGTTTATGTTGTTGATGGTGGTTTCAGAAGAAAGCTGCACCCCTTCACATGCTAAAGAGTGACCGGATTTACTTCCTTTAAAAAAAAAGTGTTTAAAGGTGGGCAGAGACATGAGGGAGCATTAATGTGCCATTGCTAATGGAGGAGCAACTGGGATCCCTGTGACCACAGCTCTGCTTCATTCAGCTCTGCATGTGAAATGAGAGCCCCAACTTGTTTATTATAATTACCTAAGTGTGGCTTGGTGGCTTTTGGCAGAGATCCTTCTTGCCTCCAAAGGAGAGACCAAAACTCAGGAGCTACACGCTAAAGGAAGGAGGATGGTGTGCATTCTGTAGCAAGGAGGCTATAATTCTAATATATTCTGGGTGAAAATATTCAAAACAACCCCCAAAAGATGAAGATCAAAAAGTAAATGAGATTGAGATCTACCTTCTACCACATGGCAAACAAAGATAGGCATGCAGGAGAACTGGATAAACAGCGTAAATGTAAGTTCAAATTCATTTTCACAGCTGACTTGATGCAGACCCTTCCCTATTACCACAAAACAGAAGAGCTTTCTTACAGCCAGGAGTCTTACATAAAGAAAAGAAAATAATTATGCATGTCTGGCAGAAGAGGGAGTTGTAGCAATGGCTTGCTGGTAAAACGGAATATGAGCGAGCAATAGAACACTAACTTAACCACACTCTTGGTTTGATAAGAAGCAGAGAGTGCCCAAAAGATTGAAATTTTGTTAGAGTCTCAAAATGTTTTATTTGAAAATGAGCAATGGTCCTTGTTCTCACAAGGTTTGGTAACTAAAAGACAGCAATAATTTCTCATCTTAAAGAGATTCTGTGGAAAAGAGTCCTTGATTTAGCTAATTTTAGCTTGAACTCTACCCCATTGCAAGCACAGTATCTTCAGTGTTAAACAAGTTTAGATGTTGCTAAGGAGTGCAATTTTCTGCCCCCATTCTAAGCTCTAAAGGCCCCCATATTGAGTTTCCCAATACCACATCATATTAAATGTAAAATCATTCAAAACCACAGAGATGAAGAGAATGTCATTGAAAAACATAAAGGAAGATTTTTTGCTTTTTTTAAGTATGAGAAAACATTATATATTTTGATTAAAAATGTTTGCAGAAAAATATGAACAGATGTGCTATGCATATGTGTATACATACACCAAATAGCACTTATAATTTGAGAGGGGGTAATTTCAACATTGCTAAGTGGTAACACAAGCTAGGTATTTAAGGGAATGATATAATATGACAACTTCATAGACTACCAAACTATGTATGGTCTCTGGAAATTGTCATTATCAACATGTACAATAACTAGTAGCATTAGGTGGTCTGTACAGTATCCTTCATGTCTAATTGAGTCACACAGTCTAAGACACTTGATGGGCACCAGGCACTGCCTTCTAATGGGAACTGACTTTCAAAAAAAAATGCATTCAGGGCCTCTTCTATATAAATTACTATCGTTTGCAGCAAGAGAGAATTATAAATGTTTGCTGGCAAAAACTAAATTTATTTACAAACTGAGTCTAATTTATTTATGGCTGCAGTACAATCGGCTTTTGTTGAAATATTTATGTTATCTGTACTTCTGCCTCACTAAACTCTACCACAATCATAAACACTGTTGAAAAATTATTTGCAGTTAGCAGGATTTAAGCTACCCATTATATCACCAGCTAGTGCCAGTAAACTTTTGCACTGGTTGATAAAGTTTCCTCCGTGGAATAAATATACATTTGACTTTCAAAATCTTTGGTAGGCTCCATACTATGAAAAGTGAAGGATTAAACAGATGTCCCAGACTTCACTAGTTTTGTGTGAATGCTTCAATTGCACATTCCAATTGAAATTTTGTGGATAGACTAGAAAAGTGCACAGATTTAAATCCTTTTCTAGCATTAAAAGAGGAATTCGATGATTGAAGTGTTGAGGTGATAATCTTTGCCAAAGATGCTACTGCTCAGACTTGAATTCATTTACCCATTCCAAAACATTTATTCAATAAATACCACGTTGTGCCTGGAGCTGTGTAAGTTGCTAAGGATAGAAATAGAGTTGAATAAGATAAAATGTCTGCCCTCAAGTAGCTTAAAGTTCAGTAGTGAAGACATAGATGGTAACGTATGTGACAATGAAATAAAATAAGGCCTAAGATGAGGTTAGGAAAAGTGCTGAGTGCTAAAAGAGTTGAGTATAAGTAATTCTGCAATTGGGCATGCCAGTCTCGTAGAACCTCTATCCTTAAGTTTGCTAGAACTATATATGTACTACATCTTTAAAGAAACCTCTTATTTTGATTATTGGTGGAAACGCAGTTGCCATTCACATTTATTTCTGAGTATCACTAAGCTCTTCATAGTAACGTGAGCATCAGAATATTTTGGGGGGATTATCTACCCTCACTGATGCTTCCAAATAACTCATAAAATGATGAAACATTGCCACATGTTCTAAAATGGCACGCCCACATTTCCATTACAAAGTAAGCCAACAGAAAACAGCACAGAGTAGTGGGTAGTTCCCATGTCAACTAAATATGTATTTCTGCTTGATCTGCTTCACTGAAAAGGGCCCAGAAGTTCTATTGTGAATAGGTAGGACTGCTGTGATACCAGTGAAACTCCCACCAGCCTACAAATGATCCAAACCACAATATTTACCTTCCAGCTAGAATTGAAAGTTATTCCAAACTGACCAGAGATAGTCCTGATGGATCTCAGAACAGTGATGTATTCAAACGAGGACTGGCCAGAGCACCCTGGAACCTCCAGTGGCATGGCACCAATCTGGAGTAGGAGTTCTTAGAGAAGTGTCAGTACTATTGTCTTCTGGTGTCTTACACTACCCACCAGATAATGAATTTTTCTCAAATAATTTCTACCTATGTATACAATAATCAAAGTAACTTAACAAAAAGCCAAAGTAGCAAAATTCATTTTGAGAGCTGTATTTATTTGATGGGGGAAAAAAGATCTCAAAAAAGGAGCTTTTCATTCATCAAGGTGCTTTGTAAAAAAGAATACCCAAAACTCACATATTTGGAGCTTCATATTTAGTAATATAATCATAAAATATTTTGCTGTCCACTTATATCAACATGATATAAAACAACTCTTACTTAGATCCAGGTGTTATTCACTAGAATAAACAATATCTCAGTGATTTTTTTGGTGTTTTGCTGATTTTTTTATGAGTTTATTCTGGTAAACCTTCTTTAACTGCTTGTTCTAACAGACTATAGCTATGCTAATTAAGTTACATAAAATCTTCTGGCATCATATTGCTTAAACCTCAGGATAATCAATTGAAATAGATATTTCAATAGCATTGTAGAATCTCAGAGCTAAAGAAAGCAAGAAAATTTTCAATTTATTCATCTAAACACCTAAAATTCTTACTAACTTAAATATATTGTGGATAAAGCCATGTAAATCTATACGAACCATGACTGCTCATGAGAAAAAATTATAACTGTTATAATTCTATCAAAAGCACATAATGTTAAGAAAATCTACTGGAGACAGGAAAGATACCTGAAGTCTATAGAATACACAATAATTTAACAGGCTTTTGCTATTGTTGCTTTGTTGTTTTGTTGCTGTTGTTGTATTAATACGTCTACTTCATTCAAGTTTTTAATACTCATCACCACTATTAAATCTTAACAACTATGATCCAACATATGCCACAAAACATTAATCATTTAGCCAACAAGACTTCTACATGTAAATCACCATGAGGGGGTCACAAAAAAGAATAAAGTGAAATTGCTGATTTCAAAGGACTTACAATCTTGTTGGGGAGATAAGGCAAATGCCCAGGAGGATTTAACTTATGTAATATAAGGCTGCATTAAATAGAGTCAAGTGAATGGCACAGAAAATGACCTCAATGATCAACTCTAAAAGTGATATTCCATTTTTTTAAGAGAAAGCTGAAGTGAATGCTGGCTAGAAATTCTAGTTGTGATGAAGGCAGATAATCAAGAGGATTGTGAAACAAAGGGGTATAGACTGTGGCCAAGCCTTGGAGAGGTAATGACTTTAAATTGGATTGAGTTTATCATATTTGCAGAGGTACGGCAGACACAGAAGAAAGGATTAGAGTGATTTCCACTTTCTATTATTTGACATAATGAGAAAACAGAGGGTGGTCCACATCTCTGGTACATATTATGAGCCATAGGAGATGCTTAACATGTCAGGTTTTGGTAGCATTGAACTCTTCTAAATAAACATATTTATTTGGACATAGTTAAGTCAAAACAAGTCACCTGGAAAAAAGGTTACAGGTCATTAATTTGCATAGTACAAAGGATTTATGAATTTTTAAATTAACCCTCCTGGATCTCGACACCATTTCAAAGAGTAGGGCATATCTGCATTTTTCTTCAAAGTTTAGATAGCTTAAAGGGTCAAATGAAAATGCTTGGCTGATGAAAAACCAGCTGAGCCAATTTGCTTTTTTCTAGATGGAAAAGAAGTGTATTATAAATTCTTCCAAGAAACAGCATTATATACATCAGGTCAAATATATATACAAAACAAATGAGCAAATAAACAACTGCAACAAAGTTGCATAAATATTTGGTGAGTCACAAAAAGATCATGCACACTCCAAATTCAAGAGAGCCCAAGTATGAAAGATGATTAAAGCACACCTCCACTGAAACTCCACTAGACTATAAGGGGATGAGGGCAGGGAGCATGGGTGCCTGTTTCACTGCCGAATCCCCAGGATCCAGCAATGTTTCTAGTTCATTACAATGATTCAATGTGATTGTGTTGAGTTGAAAACATCAGCCAAAGCACACCAATTTTACTGAAATTGGCTGGTACCTTTTTCTCCTTCTCTAAATTGGGAAGTTCTAACATAAATGTTCAAAAGGCATTACACAAATTGTGTCCTTAGTCTGCTTAAAGGTACGGTAAAAATGCCCCACTGAAGAAAGGGAAAGTGACTACTAAATTTACACACACTCATATGTGCACACATAAACACACACTCCAAATGCTCAAGATACTGATAGATTAACAACCAAACACAGTCAATTCAGAGTTTATATCATGTCCTCTTCACATTGCAACCTTTTCAAACAAATTTGTTTTTCTTTTAAAAGAAAAAAGGAATAAAAAACAAACAAAAAGTCTCTACATGGATAATCCATATTTATGTCCTTTTCTCAAGACTTTTACTAAGTTCTTCAGGAAGAAGAACAGTAAACCAGTGTCAAATATTACCAACTAAATTTGTTTCCACCAACATTTGCAGCAGCACCTGCCATGAACTAGCCATACCTTATAGATTGTAAAACATAAGCTTCATGAGGATAGGGACCCTGTGTGTTTTCTTCACTGGTGCCTTTGCAGCACCAAGCATAGTGTCTGGTACATAGCAAAGGTTCAATAAACAAATAAATATAAAATTTGTTAAATAAATAAATATAAAAATGGAAGAATACAGAAATGAGCCTTAAGGAGTCCAGAAACTATAGAAGCTATCCCCAAACCAGGCTGTGCCTCTGAATTCCATATGAAGCTTATTTTAAAAAGTACTAATTATATGGCATTTCTAGAATTAGTGATAAAGAATTCTTACTGACCTGATAGAATCATTTTTCATAACATCTGCAGCTTCCTGTTCTATAGTATGAATTTACAATATCACAAGAAATTCAAATAATCTATAAACCATAGATCCAAGCCAATTCCTGTTTAAACCAGAAGAACACAATGGGTTCAAGTCCACCAAACTAGTTATATAACCCCAGAAAATTCTCTTAATGTATTTGAGCCTCAGTTTCTTTATTCATATTTGATGCTGTCATATATGGTACCCAGGAGTCACATATGACAATAGAGCACATGACTTGTGGCTATTTCCAATTGGGATGTGCTGTAATTTTTAAAAATATAAATCAGATTTCAAACACTTGATACAACAAGTAAAATATCCTGTTGATAATTTTTGTCTATTGATTACATGCTGAAATAATATAATTTTGGATACACTATGTTAAATAAAACATATTAGTAAAATTAATTTTACCTGTTTTGTTTTACCTGCTTTAATGTGACTACTAGAAAATTTAAAATTACTATGTGGCTCACATTTGTATTTCCATAAGACAACACTGGTTTTCAAAATATGACACCAAGTTATATTAAGAATTAGAATAGCAAGGCATGGTGGCTCACGCCTGTAATCCCAGCACTTTGGGAGGCCCAGGTGGGTGGATCACTTGAGGTCTGGAGTTCGAGACCAGTGTGACAAACCTGGTGAAGACTGTCACTACTAAAAAAAATACAAAAACTAGCTGGGTGTGGTGGTGCATGCCTGTAATCTCAGCTACTCAGGAGGCTGAGGTAGGAGAATTGCATGAACCCAGGAGGCGCATGTTGCAGTGAGCAGAGATCAAGGCACTGCACTCCAGCCTGGGTGACAGAGTGAGACTTCATCTCAAAAAAAAATAAATAAATAAGAATCAGAATAAATGATGCTCTTGAGCATCTTTTGTAAGCTTTAGAGTAATATACAAATGCCAAAAGTTATTAAGTGACAGATCTAAAATGTCATTGTCTTTCAGGTCTACCTGCACTCAGCTAGCAAAAGATTATGAAATGGTTCATGATCAATTCATTCTCCACCACTCCCCTATTAATAAATCTCTCAATAAACACTTGTTGAAACCAAATGTAGAACAAGATCAACATAGTCATTGACATGGTACAAAAAGATGAGCTAATTCCGCAACACTCCCCTGCCATAGTTTCTGTGACGATGCAGGAAACAGCTTGGGCTAAACAACGTTGGAGGAAGGTTTACATTTGTAAGAGGCATTATTGGCCAATGAACAATGAGCAATATTTAATGATAGACGATGAAAACCTATTCCATTATTTCAGCCCAAAGTGCAGGATATGAGGGAAGTCATAAGATTAACCTATCTCTTTCCCTATATCTTGGATAAGGCAGTTCAATTCCTCCCACAAATATCCCATTCCATCACTTCAAAAACAATGTGTGCTTTGAAACACCTGGCAAAGAAAAGAACATGAAGAACTTTCTTGATGCTCTTCCATTGCTATGGTGCAGTTGGTGAACCTCCAAAAACCTTAGCTGACGAATGAACATGAGACAGATATTCCCAGAGTGTGTATACATGACACGACCTTGATAACATTCTCAAGAGTTTTAAATTCAGTTAGGTTCAGAGATAGGCAAACCCCACCCAGCATTCTCCCAAAGTTCTATTATATGAAAGTGAGGAGTAGAAAGGATTCCTCTGTGGGTAAAAAGGTTGAATTGTCATGGGCAGCTCATTCTGAGCTTTTACCAGGTCATGCCTCTAGACATTTTATGAATATTAATTGATGTATTACTGCAATGTAAGGCAGTTGCTAACCTAACATTCCAGCCTTTGTTCCAAGCCTTGTATCATTTTCTTCTGGGCTGTTGATTTTGGAGTGGCTGTGTAATCCTAGTGAACTGCTAGCAAAGAGTGATCAATCAACACTTTGAAAGCTTCTGGTTCATCCCAATACCTGGGATGAGCTTTGATAAATGATATTCTTGGGACTGTGTGAAATTTACATTGTAGAAGTAGTTAAATACATGTGGAAACATGGCAGGCTATTGTTTTTGTTATTTATTTATATTTAAACAAAATCTTTTGTTTGCAACAAATCCTCACTTGGTCCAAGATTATTCTGCTGCAAACTCAAGTCACTACATTTCTATATGCACGAACATTAGTGCTCTCTCTATGGATTTAAAGATTGCCACTCATTTATACACATTTGGGGGCACATAAATAATAATATAAATAGAAAAATGTTCTACATCCCATTTTAAAAACCTGGATAAAGGGATTGAAGAACATATCATACACTTGTTCATGGATGAGTACTAAATTTATCTCCCAATAATACTTTATCCTGGGTCATCAAGATTGACATTCATTTTAGAAAAATGTAGGAGGGTTAGAGTTCTTCAACCTTCTTCACAAAAATCAGCCACATCTTTTTGAGGACCTCACAAAGTTCTTTTGTGACTGGTCACAGTCAATGTGCCCATCTATTTTGTGTCCATATATATCCTCTGGAATGCGGCTTCCCTGTGTTGTTTTCTTTGTCAGCCTTCTGATCTTCTCCATTCTCTGCTCCTGGTGAGGGCCTCCTACTGTTCTGAGAGCTGTAGAGAGAGCAGTGAGCAAGACCAACAATACTCCTGCTCCTGTGAACCTTACTGCTTGATGGGTAGAGGAGGAAACTAAACCAACACACACATAGAGAACATCAGAAAGTCTTAGGTGCTCAGCAGAAAAAGCAGGGTGAAATGTATGTGCGGGTGGCTACTTCAGGTATGGAAGGCCTTGCTAAAGAGGCAGCATTGAGGATTTACACATTGAAACCCTTTCAGATCCCATTTAGGTGTCATCTCATCTGTTAAGGGTTCCCACTCTCCATGTTCATCATCTCCTCAAGCTCCAGAGTGAGTTCCTTGCTTTATGGATCACAAAGTACATAAAACGTACCTCAAAACATATCCTTTTGTCAATTGCCTGTTGCTATTAGAGTGAGTTTTATTTATGTCCATCTCCTCGTTTTGATTTCCAGTGACTTTAGGGCAAGGGCTGTGTTTCATTTACCTTTATATCTTCCCTCAGTGGCTGTAAATACACTAGATGCTCAAATTCAAATTGAACCAACTTTTACGCACATGTACCCTAGAACTGAAAGTGTAATACAAAAATGTTAATTATGAGGAGTTTCGTTTTTGAAAGCTGTACTTTGTACCTCACTTAGCTCTGAATCTGACAGATTTCAAAGGAAGCTCTCATTTACAAAAGTCATTGCCACCACGGGAAGAGGTATTTTCTAGAATTGTAGACTACTGACCATTCAGAATGCTTGCCCAAGTAAGTGACGTGTCAACTTTTCTTCTAGAAGAAGTTAAAGTTGGAAAACAATGATCTCTTCCAATACTTTTTAGATAATTACCCCTTGGTCCAAAAACAGAATTCTCAAGCTTGCTGCTTGCAAATGTGCCCCAGAAGTGAGAATTTTGTAGTTGAAAAAGAATCAGAAAGAGAAGCTTTTGATAAATAAACCAGAGTACTGAGCTAAACCTTGTACAACACAAGCTAGATTTCAAAGTAGATGGTGAGAATGAGCCTAGAGTTTGAAAATTCTGCCAGAAAGTTTTGTTTTATGTTTTTGTGGAGTTTTTTAAAGAAACATTTTGCTTTTTTGTTTTGGACTTGAAGATTGTGCTCAATACAGTTTTTCTTCCTTTAAGTGACACCTATTAAAAGAGAAAAGTAAATTGTTCAAATAGAAGAATTAATAAGACAAATAAATGCCCTTTTCTGAAGAATCTAAATTTTCTTACTTGGGATCTGATTATGAAATTCCAATTATAAATAAACTCCCAACCCCTTACCCAAAAAAGGAATGTCTCCAAGTTTAGACTGAGGTAGGATAAATACTCAACATTCTATTCCAAATACCAAGAACAAGGTAGGTATTTTCCCTGCTGCTTCCTTACCCTGAAATTTGACGTTCATTTTAATGATGCTTACTTTATTACTTGTCAGAAAAGTGAAATGGCCTGTCAATTTTATGGAGTTTCTCCTACCTTTCAAATGATTATATTACATTTTGAAATAAGTGTATAGCTCCCACCTCCTTTTTTTAACCTAAATGGTTCATGTGTGGGTTTGGTACTTGGCTACGAGTGGAATGAAATCATAATTTCAGGAGTCCAAAAGAATAGATCAAAATCATGCCAACACTTTCATGGATGGATATATGCTGCTAAATGGATGTTTACCTAGAAAAGTCATCATCTGGCATGCAACAGAGTGAATGTTTCTAAGCAGCTAACTCATGTATACTAAACAAATTTGGCTTGGCTGCTGTGAGAGCTGCCCTTTGGAAATTCTCAACATACATTTGTTTGATTGAGCCGTCATTCCCAGTTGATCTGCTGATGATCTGTGTCACTTTGTTTAAATGTCCTGGTGTGGTTTTCTATATATATACAGTGAAAAGCCAGTATGTTTCTGTGATGGATTAAATAGAGGTGAAATTCGAGAGTGACTCCTGTTTTTGATTCCTGCATTCTCAGACAGGTGGGTCTGGAATGATCAAGAATGTCACATTCAAACACAGGGGAAAATATGGAGCCCTTTTGATTTAAAACACATTACCGTAAAGATATATTTGCTACTGTGTTCTCCTAGTACCAGAAGCTATTTAGGATTTCCCACCTAAACAAACACCATATGGGTTAATTCTCAGCATCCTTTTCAGATATCCAGAAACAGGGGACACAAAACTCACTGCTTGGAAATGCAATCTAAGAGAAGCAAACAAGGCTCATTGCTGATGTATGGATTCAGAAATCAAATGCAAGGTCAGGCTAGAACTGAAGCTCCAGATCTCAAATATCCCAGTAATGGTTCAGATGGAAACCCAACACCACAGTGCCATACCCTGTCTGAGGCACTAATCAAGCGACTGCCTGTTTGCTCCGTGGTTAAAGCACTTCCTGCAGCTAATCTTCCTAGATAGGCTCTCAGCTTTAATAACCTATGGGGTCTGCTGTTAAGTGCCGGGATCTGGGCACCATCAGCGTTGATGTCTCCACTCTGCCAAACCCCAGACAGCACGTGATGCTCACGTAATCCCTCCCCTTAGCTTCCATGGATGCAGTAGACAAGGGCCTGCCTTAAGCTAGGTTCCCCTACTCAAAAAACATACAGCCCTGATCAACCTGCTGTCATACCTGAAATTCTCCCACCCCCACCCCTGACCCACTTAGCATTGTTTCTCTGGGCTAAGGTAAAATCATCTCCAAGAGTTCTGACCATTAATCGTTTATTCATTTCCATTTACATTTAAAAACCTACTATGGACTACACAGACACTGAATGTGGACTTTGGAAACCAAAATACCTGGCCTCATTCTTGGCTTCACAGAGCAACATTTCAGTAGAGAAGGAAGACATGCAAACAAAACATAGTACCCACGATCAACGAACTATGTCCAAGGTTCAGTGGAGAGAGGGAATTAATTCTGTCTTAGGGTAGAAATGGCTAGGGAAGGCTGTCAAGAAGTGGCCACACCCAAGAAGGGAAGAATAAGCTGAAGAAGAAAGGTGGCTTTGAAGGTGTTTCCCAGAGAAAAGATGAGGGAAAAAAAGACCCTACTAGAAAGAAGAGAGGACATATCTAAAGGTATGAAAAGTATGAAAGAGCTTAGCATGTGCATGAGACTAAGCATTCCTCAGTATTGTCTGACTTATAGTGAGAAATAGAGTAGGTGCACATGCAGAGAAAGAGGCAGTGAGGATCCAAACAATCAAAGGATTCATGCCATACCCTAGAGCTTGGCCTTCCTCCTATTGTCAATATGGAAAATGGAAAGATCAGAACTGGATATTAGCATGATCACTCTGATTCAAAAAAGAGGAGAAATTTAAAATTGGCAGAAAGCAGATGGACCAGTCAGAGGCTGTTTCAGTAGTCCATGACAGAAATCATGAGAGCTTAAAAAAGGGGCTGTGATGCTGGAGGATGAAGAATAACAGGGAGAGATTTAGGAAGTAAAGAGAGTCCAATAAGGGAGTGGAACGGGGATAAAATAAACTTCAATGAGCTCATATACTATGTCATGAGTTAATTTATCAGTGATAGGTAAAGTTGGCCACTCCCAGGAACTGGGACACATATGGGGGCTGAGGACACAGATAGAGAGAAGATTGGAATACTGAACAACGAAGTGATTAGAATACTGAACAATGAATCAGGAGCCCTGAGCCCCTGGGAGGCAATCATAGAGCCCTGGGCCATCTAGACAGTAATGAGGCTGCAGAACCAACAGGCTTTTCCCTTGCTTGAAGGAAACCTGGAGATCAGAAGATCAGCATGGGGATGGTAGGAAAAAAATTTCATTCTTACATGTACAAATAGAAAAAATAACACAAAAATTAGCTGGGCATGATGGCGCATGCCTATAATCCCAGCTACTCAGGAAGCTGAGGCAGGAGAATCGCTTGAACCCTGGAGACAGAGGTTGCAGTGAGCCAAGATTGCACCATTGCACTCCAGCCTGGGCAACAGAATGAGACTCTGTCTCAAAAAAAAAAGAAAACCAGGTAAGACATTAGAGGACACCTTCACTAGATCGTGCAGACTCTTAAGGAATGTTGATTCCCTAACAAACTTCATGCTTGACATTAGTAGCTGTGCCTTTATATTGATCACCCTTATGTTCCTACACTTTACGATGTTCAATATTCTTTGGCAATCCTAACTCAGGTACTGCCTTCACAAAGTGTTTGCCAGGTACACACCCCTTTCCTTGCTCAGTGTTGCCTGAAGTGGTATTCCTCAGGAAAGGCTCCAAAACCACTCCTGACCTCAGCAGTTTTGATAGGCACTTATTAAGCAAAATTCAACTTACATGTTATTTATTCCTACTGTTGAGAACTTTGAGAGAAAAAAAGTGGCTTAATGTCAAGAAAAGTAATTTGTTAAGATGATTTTTAAAACTCATTCAGTGCATATGCAGGAAATCCTGCAAAATCAACATTCTCTATACAGCGTTCTTCCCTGCTTATCCTCCCATCCCAGAACTCTAAATCCCCAGAGCACAGTACTGGGTGGCTCCCCAGCCCACAGGTCCCTCAGCCTATGTGCCTTCTTCCCCAAAGGAGATCTGATCCTTCCCCAAATTAATGTTTTGTATTATTTACTTGTGTATTTTCTTGATGGAAAAAATATAGAAAAGGGAAAACAGACAGAGGGTAGAAGTTGGGTTTTATTTATTATGGTTTAACATTATTTATGATTATTGTAATTTAGGTCCAACATCCCAAGAGTCTCATTGTAATGGGTGCAATAGACACCAATAAAATAGTGTCACAGAGCACATACATATATTCTTCTACTTCCTTTTTTTACAAGACGTATTTTCTCTATGCACACAAAGCAAATCCTGTCAAATTGCAATATACTTCTAGGCATTCTGTTTTGGATTTTCATTTTAAGAAATATAAAAGGAAGAATGAACTGCAAGACACTTATTTATTTTATGGACTTATTTGCACCATCGAAAAGAGAATGACGATAAATCCCTTTTAGGGAGGGCTTGTGTTTACCACTTCATAGCCATTGAAAGTAAATAAAATAATATGGAATAAAATAAAAACAAGATGGCAGGGGCTCTATATTAATAAGCCCAAGTGATTAAAACACAGATCAAACAATAAGCTTCTTTTCTATTTTGGGTTTTGAAATTTAGTAATTCTATTAACCCTCTGAAACATAAAAAGACAAATTTTAAGTATATTTTCTTAACTGATGAACATAATAAAATTTAGATTTATAAGTTTGGTTATTAGTGTACATGCACTTAGTTCTAACTCAGTCCCTGGTTTCCTGAGAAAACCCAAAATGGAAGATAGATAAAAATTTACATATTTGGCTGCCAAATATTTTTGCTTGGGAACTGAGAGACCAAATCAGTCATTGTTGAGCAACCCAGTCTCACAGAGGACTCTCTGGCAGTCTGGCTCTGAGATCATATTGCGATAAATGCTTTTCTATAGAACTAGACCCTATACTAATTCAAGAGTTTTAAAATTTTTTTAAATAGCTAAGAGCCAAATTTCTTCCTAGATTAAAAAAAATAGTTTGAAAAAAGTTGCTAAGGATATAAGAAATATATAAACTGGAGTTTTTATTGGTTGTCTCTCTGCAAAATATGCACACACACACACACCACCACACAAGTCTTGCCTAATTTGAAATGACAAAGGCCAATCTTTCCCACAATGGAAATGCACAGAGGGAGAAGGCCAAACAACAAAACAATCCAGAGAGTTAAAAAAAAATTTTTAAGGCTTACCAACAAACAAAAAACAAGCTCAAAATAAATTAGAAATAAACTCCAAACAAACCCAGCCAAACATAAAGCAGAGAAAATCCAAAGCAAACAATCCAAAAATCTTTAAAAGTATAGTACAGTGATCCCACACTGTTGCCTATGGGGATTGCTGGAGGGGGAAGCCCCCCAAGCTCAGGCTGATCCGATGGGCCAGTTCCTCTGAAGCCTCCTCCACCCCTCCCACTGCCAGGCTTCCTGGAGTCCTGCCCTGCAGACCAGAGAGCGCCACGCAGAGAAGGCTCTGGCCACCCCGCCGGCCTGGTATTTGGCTCCCCAGTCACCCAGCGCACAAGTATGATGGATGATGATGGATCGCAGCACCACCAAAACCGTGTGAATTTCCCAAGGCCTCTGATTATTCTAATCGAGCCCCCAGAAGAAGCACAGAGCTTCACAAAAGCCTCCAAGGAAACCTCCCATTCCCCTTGTCTGCCTGACACAGACTCCACTAAATAAAGCAATCAGGCCCTGATATGGCCTCCTCTCTTTGACACACAGATCCAGGCCTCCATATTCATTGTTCCATGATATGATTTAGCCTTGAATGAATTTTTAATAAACACCTACAGTTATAGCACAGCGAAATGGCCACTCTGGCTTCTCCCAGGGGAAGATAACAGTTTATGAACACTTGCCAGTCACAGCTTTGCTAATGTTCTATCGCTGTGCTAGACAATATGGTCAAAAGGGTTTTTTCTCTATCATCTAGTCTCTTTCTCTGTCTCTCTCTCTCTCTCTGTCTCTCCTCACCACTGCCTGCTCTCTCTTTCCCTCCCTCCTTCTCTCTCTCTCTCTCATTAGATCTTTCTTAAACCACAAAGAGTCTCTGAGAGATACAACTGCATAAGATAAAGGCACAATTATAGAATTTGTTCAAAACAGATAAAGAGTATCACAGCCAGACTCAGATATGCATAATGGAATTTTATATGTTGTAATAATCCAAGCTAAAAAAAAGAAGAGTGTAGTACTATTTCAATTGAGTTCAGTGTCCTCGACTTACTGAGATGTTTTTTTGCCATGTAAATTTGCAGCTTGTGCGATGGGGAGACTCTCAAGGCTTTGTGACTGCTGTTGGCTTCTTGGAATGTTCCAGATCAATACAGACAGAGTTAATAGTACCATACAAGTCTATAAAACTCCACAAACTAGCCATATTTAGAAATACAGCTAGTGTACTTGCAGCAAACAATATGTCCATTTAGTACTTTCTAATACTTACTGTCATCCAATTTCTAATACTTAGGTACTTAACTGTTCCCCTTCCCCTAAATGTACTACCTCTTGAACTCTTAAAATCTCTCAGTATCTATTCACATGCAAGCATATGAGAAAAAGGGTGGTTGTACTTCTCAGGAGTGGCCCCCAAATTTCTACATCAGAGTAGCATATGGAAATGAATTTAATTGAACAAGGGTAAGGAGAAGGGGTTGAAGCTGGGTTTACAGAGCACTTTGCATAAGAATGAGAAAATGCCAACAGACTTCATCAAATAATTGGAAGAGGAGTGTGGAGAATGTTGAAGATTATGGGTTAGCTTGGGAAGACTTTCCTAGCCATGGTTAGGTAACACCACCCATACTTCTACACTATAATTTTGTTTAGCCATTAATGATATCTCATACATACACTTTGATTTTTTCCCCAATTAGCCATGTAGCTTTAAAAACCATAACATTTTGAAATAGTTCATCCTGACCAACAACTCAGGATATTCAACCATAATCTTTGTTTCCTAAACCAGAAGGGTAGATAAATAAGAACAATAGATTACGCTTTTGGAAAACCAGATCCTGTTCCTGGCACTGTCACTAATTAACTGGGAAATTCTGAACAAGTCTTTTCATCTCTCTGGGAATCTATTTCCTCATCTGTAAAATTACTGAATGCAGAGAGCCCCCAGGGTCCTTTCCAGCTTATATTCTATGAGTCCATCAATCTCTATGTGATTGTGGAAGTAAATTCCTTGAAAGAGCCACAAGTATAGCTGCTTTGTACCATAATCAGCAAAGTCCTGTCTGCATATAAACTCAAGAAAAGCGATTGAAGGCTGATGAAGATATCATTTTTAGTTTGTGTTATGAAGCTGGCTTGGATAGGAATTAGAACATGGAAAGCAATAAAGTTTTGAATTGTACTGAAAACTTACTATGTGCCAGACTGACACTCTCTTACGCATTTTACATCATTATCTTATTTAATGTCACCGTAAAACCTACTGCATAAATAGGTAACAGTCCCATTTGACAGATTTTAAAAACTAAGGCTCAGAGAGTTTATGTGTCTCACTTCATTAAAACCAGTCTTCTTGAGCCCAAGCATAATATCATAATATTCTCATATTATTCTATTTCAAGGTTATTTGGTTACTGTTTTTTTTTGTTTTTTTTTTTTAATGGAGTCTCACTCTGTCACCCAAGCTGGAGTGCAGTGATGCAATCTCGGTTCACTGCAGCCTCCACCTCTCCCGGATTCAAGAAATTCTCTGCCTCAGTCTCCCAAGTAGCTGGGATTACAGGCACCTGCCACCACGCCCAGCTAATTTTTTCTCATGTATTTTTAGTGGAGACAGGGTTTCACCATCTTGGCCAAGCTGGTCTTGAACTCCTGACCTCATGCTCCACCCACCTCGGCCTCCCAAAGTGCTGGGATTACAGGTGTGAGCCACTGTGCCTGTCCTATTTCAAGGTTATTCTAATAGTTCCATCGCTCCCACCATTTACAGTACCCAAACTATCAAATGACAAATAAACTCATTAAAATTTGACAATAACTAATATGTTTCTTTCCTTTCCAAAAGAAGGCTACTCACTTCTTGGCTTCACTTTGCTCCTCTCTATAAGGTTGGTTCAACCAACTCCAGGTAATTCTCTAACTTAAGATTTACACACATATTATATCAACATTAAAGGCTAACTTGTTAAAGCTTCATGAAAATTTAGAGAAAAGCCAGTCATCATTGATTATCTTACCAGTTCACAAAAACATTTTTTGTAATTTATTATTACTGTAATAGAACATTTGTTATTATTTCAATCAACTTCTAAGTGGGACCTGTAAGGAAAGTAAAAATCGAAATAAAACTACAACAAAATGTACTCTTGACATGTTGGCAGTCTTCTCAAGAAGGGCTTGCTACTTATATCTTAAACACCTCAAACTAATTGTAAAATACTTCCTCACACATAATCCAAAATAATAACTTCTGAGGATATTTCTACTTAGGATTTTAATCCAAAATTAGGAGAGGAAAGAAATACCTGTCTATCTATCCATATGGAAACATTTACCTATCTATATTCCACAGATGCACTGACAAGGAATTCAGGCATTAGGAGAGTCTTTATATTGTTATATGTAATCAAATCACCAGTCATCAGACTCTTCTCCAAGGAATTCCACTTCTTGATGGTTATCCAGAATACTGTGACATTGACATGCAAAATCCAAGTTTGGATCCATCTACTTATTGGCCTCAGAAATTGATCATGTTTGGGAAAATTCCAAGATTTAGAGATCTGCACCAACAGTGTTAACAAAGAGCAGGATATAGTGTGATTTCCATTGCTGCAGTCATAGTCTGTGAAATGCCAATATTCTGCATATCTTCAAAGAACAGAATCTGTCTCCAAAAACTGTACAAAATAGCCCACTACAAAGGAAAATCCTTCAAGATCTTTGCTATTGAACGAGGACCAGAAATAAGAGGAAAACTTCCGAGAACAGTATAAAAATGACAGATATAAGAGGAGGCCAAGCATGCCATGAAATGAGACACTTTTTGCTGACAGATGAGCACCTTTGAACTCTAACCCAATAAAAGAATTAGCACTCCCAATGTATAATCAGTACAGCAAGCAAAATATGTCAACACATGATAGGCAGGATAATCAATCGACATGCGAGGTAGGAAACAGCCAGACTAAATAGCAACCCAGTCCCACTGAGCCAGACAGGCCTTCCTGCTCCTTCAATTTCTCATACCACAGGGACCAGGAATTAATATGCAGTAAAGGAAAACTTCTGGTAAGTAAAACAACAGAGCAAGAATGAAGAGTTCTCACTAAGAAGTGATTAGGATTCCCAAAACACGGTCTTGATGTCTTGATTTTTTTAGATGTGTTCTTTAAAGAACTTTCTCCTGTCAGATACTAAAAACTTTGAAATTATCAACCACAGTACTATTATTTATTCTCCTTTCCCATGAAGACTACAGAAATAGTAAAAAGAGCAGGCACTACGGACATAAACAGAGCTAGCTTTTAATCCTGGTTGGCTGTATGCTAACCACTGACCTCAAGCAAGTAACGTAAGCAGGCTGGGCCTCAGTTTTATATTCATCTGTTAAAAACAGAAGAATAACACTTTTTAAAAGGAGATTTGTGACAATTAAAAAAAAAACAGAATAGGTAAAGTGTCTTATTCAACACAGATTTGATATTGGCAATCCCAGTCTCCTCACAGCTAGCATGGTGTTTCCAACCCTGTGAGTGCTTAAGAAATGTGGAGATGCCACATATATTAAATAATAAACTCACAGACCACAACAGAGTAATGTAGTTTCAGACATGCTTAAGAAGGGGGGAAATTGGCCTAGGTTAGAATGCCCTATTTACCATAGCTCTGCAACAGTGAGAGAGTCACCTAACCTCTCTGGGTCACAGTCAACTCATTTATAAAGTTGAGCAAATAATATCTCACCAACCTAAGGCCCGAGCTGAGAAGAGCGACTCTCACAGTTCCTTTCAGCTTTAGATCACTCATTGCAAATTATCTGTTGCTAGTTTATCTTATCTTATGCTCTAACTTGATAAAATCGAATAGAAATTGCTTCAATTCCTAAATCTACATCCCTTCAGGAATTTGAAAATGATTACTTTGTCTTATTTTGCTTGTGTTTTCCATTTTCCCAAAGGAGAGTTACTAGTGTTCTCTGCTTAAAATCACTTAGCAACTCTGCAGCATTTTCATGGCGTGGTTTGAATGGTTTTTGATAGCAATTTGTTTTAAAATATTATCCTCAACCTATCTAGCCCCAAACCACAGGTGAGTACATTTTGTAACATTTTACACTCATGCCATCTATATTTCAAGATTCTGCCTGCTTTAAACAGAGTAGTTTTGTGTGATGCAGTACTTTATTTTTCACTTATTTTAAATACATTTGTTTTTCAAATAGACGCTTTGCAAGAATGACTTTCCAGCTATACATTTTGAAACCCTCATAACTGTACTCCCATGACTTTAGCAGCACTTCAAAGGGCAATTTTCTTCACTGACCATGGCAAATACTATTTGAATTAGCTAACAATTTTTCTTTGGATTCATGAGACAGAAGAGCATGCATCCATTGAAGCTAGGCTGATCATTATAATTTTAACACTACTGAGAGGATAGTAACCTAAAGTCAGAGAAAACGCAATATTGTGGGCTTTCCTAAACAACTGCTTAAACTTGTTTCTCTTTTCTGACAAGTGTGGATATAGACAAATTCAGATATTCTAGTATTTATCATTCACCAATACTATGGCTACAAAAATGAAATCTGAGGCCTAATTTGCCTTATAATTCAGAAACTGAGGAGCTTTCAGACAGCAACAATAAGTCATTTTTCACGTTTATTTTCCATGCACATAAAGACACACCACTCTGCCATCAACATATCAGGCGAAATCAAAAATGGCTTAGCACAAAAATTACCCAGAGAATGGCCATCAGAAAAACAGTTGTGACAAAGCAACTATGCTAAAATTGTACCTTAACTTGAATTATATTTGCATTCATTTGCTTCCTAATACTTTTGGAGAACTTTGTGGAGAAAAGACTGGGCTTTTTGTTCAGTAGTTTTTAAAATATCAAACGTTCTGTCCATCAGCTATCCCTTCTTGGATGTGACAATGTGATAGAATAAAGACCGACTTTTCTTTTGGAACCTCATTGACATGGCCTTTGGCAGCTTACAAGACCTGTCTTCACTTATTGTGTCCTTTGTACCCTGATGCCTTCTTATAAGGAAGGACAATAAGAGAGGCCTATGACAATATCTCAACTTTTCCCCCTGGAGACTGAGATTCCATGGTTTTTTGTGAAATCCAGCATGAGTAATACTTGTTATCAGAGAAGAAAAGCGCTAGACAAATAGGAAACATCATTTGACATTTCTCCTCCACATTTACAAAGTTAAGTGAGTTGTGGAACTGTGCCTAGGAGGGAATAAATATCTCATCACAAACTAGACTCAACCAGTCGTGCCCATTGACGCCTATCAAAACACAGCCGCCCTTTTCCTTTCATTCTGCTTGGATTATTTAGATTTCTCTAAATGTTTTCAATGAACTCAAAGACTAGTTATTTCAGGACAAAATAATTGACAATGCAAAACATTGTCATTATTTTATTATCTGCAGAGTTGTCCAACGGTTAGCAAAAATTAAAAGGACTTACCCATAGTCCACAAAAACATGAAATGCTTAGTCTTCTATTTAGATAGAATCAGGGATAGAAATGAATTGTAAGCATAGCTCCTGCCCATTTTCCACTACTGAATTTAGTAATCTTGTCTATCTCCATATGAATATATGCATATACATAGGTTTGTGTGTGTGTCTGTATATATGTATCACCATTCCATATGCTAACAAATGTGGAAAGGTCCTTTACTTTCTTAGGATGAAACTATTAAACTACATATAAATATCTGAAGACTTTAGTAAGAGAAACTGAGCCTTTCAATTTTCATTTTCCAAATGACACTATTGCCAGAAAAAAAAATGTTTGGCAAAACTCTTTGCTTTCTAAGCATTAAGAAAAAGAAGGTCATAAAACCGAAAGGAAAGATATTGCTCTCTAAAGAATCCAAATCCCAAACTAACCACAAGCAGGAATGTTTATAAAAGTACTTTCTTGAAACTCTCTCTGTTAGATATTTCATGCTATAGAAAAATCCTTCTGTAAAGAACATCAGTATATCATGGACTCAGCTTGCAGGTTAAAACCCAAGGATAGGCACTGCACTGTGAATTTCCCTCCTGACTGTATGAAGAAGCTGTAGAGGAGATGTATGCTTGGTTTCCTGACGTCCGCACTCTGAGAGGCTCCACTAATCCAAATTGCATATTGTGACTCCAGATGGCATTTCCAATATAAGAACAATGACTTCTGCAAAAGCACCAAAGAGCCCAAAAGTTGCAAGGCCAGGTGCCATCCACACCTTACATAAATATTTATGTTAAAGAATTTCTGACTGGGCGCAGTGGCTCATGCCTGTAATCCCGGCACTTTGGGAGGCCAAGGTGGGAAGATCTTTTGAGGCCAGGAGTTCCAGACCAGCCTGGCCGACATGGCGAGACATTGTCTCTACTAAAAATACAAAAAGTAGCCAGGCATGGTAGTGCATGCCTGTGATCCCAGCTACTCAGGAGGCCGAGGCAGGAGAATCGCTTGAACCCGGGAGGCAGAAGTTGCAGTGAGCTAAGATCAAGCCACTGCACTCCAGCCTGTGCGAAAGAGCAAGACTTTATATAAAAATAAAAATAAGGCTGGGCACGGTGGTTCATGACTGTAATCCCAGCACTTTGGGAGGCCAAGGCAGGTGGATCACCTGAGATCAGGGGTTCAAGACCAGCCTGACCAACATGGCAAAACCCCATCTCTACTACAGACACAAAAATTAGCCAGGCATGGTGGTAGGCACCTGTAATCCCAGCTACTTGGGAGGCTGAGGCGGGAAAATCACCTGAACCCAGGAGGCGGAGGTTGCAGTGAGCCAAGATTGCGCCACTGCACTCTAGCCTGGGCAACAGAGTGAGACTCTGTCTCAAAAAAAAAAAAAAGGAATAAATAAAAATTAAAAAGATAAAAATAAATTAATTAAAAGTTTTTTTTAAATTTATTTGGGTTATTTTTATTACAATGATCTTACTCTTGAAAATCCATGCTGTTTTCCATAAAAAGAAAGATGATGTTCCCTGCGTTTCTCATCTGGCTTCTGTGACACTCCTTTGGCAATTCTTGCGTATGCCATCAAAATCATACCAGACAAATGCTCCTGAAAGCTACGATCTATTGATTTTCATAGAAGGATTTTCCCCCTACAGCTGACAAGGAAAACAAGCATCTTCCAAAGAAAATTAAGGTAAATGCCAAAATGTCTCATCTCTTCCCAGTATGAATCCTTTAAAAATATTAATTATAATAATGTTTGACTTCAGAAGAAAGGCAAAAAGGAAAAATTTGAGTCAGGTGTGAAGAACATTAGGAATATTATGATCTAAATAATATAATATAACTGAAACATATAAGAACATCACTAATTTTCATTTGACTATAAACCAACCACTGGCTTTTCAAATGATTGGAACAATCTCTCAGTTTGGGTTACAGCTTTTCTCTTCAAAAGTTTAAACTGTTCAGTTCAGTGACTGTTGAATTTCAGCTCCTGAAATACTGTATACCATTGAGCACTTACTTTTGTGTTTTATTCATGGTCAAGATAACACCAGTGACTTTAACAACCCCTGCACTTTATTCAAATTGTTTTAGAAAATATATAAAAGCAGATTTCCTTTTAAAAACATAGTTAGGAGGATTCCTGGGCAAGATGGCCGAATAGAAACAGCTCTGATCTGCAGCTCCCAGTGAGACCAATGCAGAAGGCAGGTGATTTCTGCATTTCCAACTGAGGTACCCAGTTCATCTCACTGGGACTGGTTAGACAGTGGTTGCAGCCCACAGAGGGCGAGCCGAAGCAGGGTGAGGCATTGCCTCACCTGCAAAGCGCAAGGGGTTGGGGAACTCCATCCCTTAGCCAAGGGAAGCCATGAGGGACCGTGCCATGAGGGACTGTGATTTCTGGCCAAGACACTATGCTTTTCCCACAGTCTTTGCAACCCACAGACCAGGAGATTCCATCAGGTACCTACACCACAAGTGCCCTCGGTATCAAGCACAAACCTGGGGGGCCATTTGGGCAGACACCAAGCTAGCTGCTAGCTGCAGGAGTTTTTTTTTTGTTTTTTTTTTTATTTTTTTTTTTGTACCCAAGTGGCATCTGGAACTCCAGTGAGACAGAACCAAACACTACCCTGCAAAGGGGGCTGAAGCCAGGGAGCCAGGTGGTCTTGCTCAGTGGATCCCAACTCCATGGAGCATAGCAAGCTAAGATCCACTGGCTTGAAATTCTCACTGCCAACACAGCAGTCTAAAGACGACCTGGGATGCTCCAGCTTGGTTGGGGGAGGGATGTCTGCCATTACTGAGGCTTGAGTAGGTGGTTTTCCCTCACAGTGTAAACAAAGCCACCAGGAGGTTTCGATTGGGCACAGCCCACCTCAGTGCAGCAAGGCCACTGTAGTCAAACTGCCTCTCTAGATTCCTCCTCTCTGGGCAAGCCATCTCTGAAAGAAAGGCAGCAGCCCCAGTCAGGAGCTTATAGGTAAAACTTCCATCTTCCTGGAACAGAGAACCTGGGGGAAGGGGCGACTGTAAGTGCAGCTTCAGCAGACTTAAATGTTCCTGCCTGCCTGCTCTGAAGAGAGCAGTGGATCTCCCAGCACAGCACTCAAGATCTGCTAAGGGGCAGACTGCCTCCTCAAGTGGGTCCCAGACCCCCGTGCCTCCTGAGAGGGAGATATCTCCCATCAGGGGTCAACAGACAACTCATAAAGGACAGCTCCGGCTGGTATATGGTGGGTGCCCCCCTGGTATGAAGCTTCCAGAGGAAGGAGCAGGCAGCAATCTTTGCTGTTCTGCAGCCTCCACTGGTGAGACCCAGGCAAACAGGGTCTGAAGTGAACCCCCAGCAAACTCCAGCAGACCTGCAGACGAGGAGCCTGACTGTTAGAAGAAAACTAACATACAGAAAATAATAGCATCAACATCTACAAAAAGGACAACCATGCAAAACCTCCATCCAAAGATGGAGCAAAGATGAAAGGTAGATAAATCCATGAAGATGGGGAAAAACCAGCACAAAAAGGCTGATAATTCCAAAAACCAGAATGCCCATTCTCCTCCAAATGATGGCAACTCCTCACCAGCAAGAGAACAAAACTGGACGGAGAATGAGTTTGATGAATTGACAGAAGTAGGCTTCAGAAGGTGGGTAATAACAAACTCCTCCAAGCTAAAGGAACATGTTCTAACTCAATGCAAGGAAGCTAAAAACCTTGAGAAAAGGTTAGAGGAATTGCTAACTAGTATAACCAGTTTAGAAAGAACGTAAGTGATCTGATGGAGCTGAAAAACACAGCACGAGAACTTCGTGAAGCATACATAGTATCAATAGCCCAATCAATCAAGTGGAAGAAAGGGTATCAGAGATTGAAGATCAACTTAGTGAAATAAAGTGTGAAGACAAGATTAGAGAAAAAAGAATAAAAAGGAATGAACAAAGCCTCCAAGAAATATGGGAATATGTGAAAAGACCAAACCTATGTTTGATGGGCATACCTGAAAATGACAGGAGAATGGAACCAAGTTGGAAAACACACTTCAGGATATTATCCAGGAGAACTTCTGCAACCTAGCAAGACAAGCTAACATTCAAATTCAGGAAATACAGAGAACAACACAAAGATACTCCTTCAGAAGAGCAACCCCAAGACACATAGTCATCAGATTCATCAAGGTTGAAATGAAGGAAAATTTGTTAAGGGCAGCCAGAGAGAAAGGTCAGGTTACACACAAACAGAAGCCCATCAGACTAACAGTGGATCTCTCTGCAGAAACCCTACAAGCCAGAAAAAAGTGGAGGCCAATATTCAACATTCTTAAAGAAAAGAATTTTCAACCCAGAATTTCATATCCAGCCAAACTAAGCTTCATAAGTGAAGTAGAAATAAAATCCTTTACAGACAAGCAAATGTTGAGGGATTTTGTCACCACCAGGCCTGCCTTACAAGCGCTCCTGAAGGAAGCACTAAATATAGAAAGAAAAAACTGGTACCAGCCACTGCAAAAACAAACCAAAATGTAAAGATCATCGACACTATGAAGAAACTGCATCAACTAATGGACAAACTAACCAGCTAGCATCATGATAGGATCAAATTCACACATAACAATATTAACCTTAAATGCAAACGGGCTAAATGCCCCAATTAAAAGGCACAGACAGGCAAATTGGATCAAGAGTCAAGACCCATCAGTGTGCTGTATTCAGGAGACCCATCTCATATGCAAAGACACACATAGGCTCAAAATAAAGGGGCAGAGGAATATTTACCAAGCCAATGGAAAGAAAAAAAAAGCATGGGTTGCAATCCTAGTCTCTGTTAAAACAGACTTTAAACCAACAAATATAAAAAAAGACAAAGAAGGGCATTGCATAAAGGAATCAATGCAACAAGAAGAGCTAACTATCCTAAATATATATGCACCCAATACAGGAGCAACGAGATTCATAAAGCAAGTTCTTAGGGACCTACAAAGAGACTTAGACTCCAACACAATAATAATGGGAGAATTTAATACCCCACCATCAATATTAGACAGATCAATGAGACAGAAAATTAACAAGGATATCCAGGACTTGAAATCAGCTCTGGACCAAGTGGACCTAATAGACATCTACAGAACTCTCCACCCCAGATCAAAGTAATAGACATTCTTCTCAGCAACACATAGCACTTATTCTAAAACCGACCATATAATTGGAAGTAAAACACTCCTCAGCAAATGCAAAAGAACAGAAATCATAACAAACAGTCTCTCCAACCACAGTGCAATCAAATTAGAACTCAGGATTAAGAAACTCACTCAAAATCACAAAACTAAATGGAAACTGAACAACATGCTCCTGAATGACTACTGGGTAAATAATGAAATTAAGGCAGAAATAAATAAGTTCTCTGAAACCAATGAAAACAAAGACACAATGTACCAGAATGCCTAGGATACAGCTAAAGCAGAATTTAAAGGGAAATGTATAGCACTAAATGCCCACAGGAGAAAATGGGAAAGATCTAAAATTGACACCCTAATGTCACAATTAAAAGAACTAGAGAAGCAAGAGCAAACAAATTCAACAGCTAGCAGAAGACAAGAAATAACTAGGATCAGGGCAGAACTGAAGGAAATAGAGACACAAAAAAACTCTTGAAAAAAATCAATGAATCCAGGAGCTGTTTTTTTTTAAAAAAGGATGAACAAAATCAATAGACTTCTAGCTAGACTAATAAGGAAGAAAAGAGAGACAAATCAAATAGGCACAATAAAAAAAGATAAAGAGGATAGCACCACTGACCCCATAGAAATACAAACTACAATCAGAGAACACTGTAAACACCTCTATGTAAGTAAGCTAGAAAATCTAGAAGCCCTCAGAAATAACGCCGCATATCTACAACTATCTGATCTTTGACAAAACTGACAAAAACAAGCAATGGGGAAAGGATTCCCTATTTAATAAATGGTGCTGGGAAAACTGGCTGGCCATATGTAGAAAGCTGAAACTGGATGCCTTCCTTACACCTTATACAAAAATTAATTCAAGAAGGATTAAAGACTTAAACGTTAGACCTAAAACCATAAAAACCCTAGAAGAAAACCTAGGCATTACCATTCAGGACATAGGCGTGGGCAAGGACTTCATGTCTAAAACACCAAAAGCAATGGCAACAAAAGCCAAAATTGACAAATGGGATCTAACTAAACTAAAGAGCTTCTGCACAGCAAAAGAAACTACCATCAGAGTGAACAGGCAACCTACAAAATGGGAGAAAATTTTCACAACCTACTCATCTGACAAAGGGCTAATATCCAGAATCTACAATGAACTCAAACAAATTTACAAGAAAAAAACAAACAACCCCATCAAAAAGTGGGCGAAGGACATGAACAGACACTTCTCAAAAGAAGACATTTATGCAGCCAAAAAACACATGAAAAAATGCTCACCATCACTGGCCATCAGAGAAATGCAAATCAAAACCACAATGAGATACCATTTCACACCACTTAGAATGGCAATCATTAAAAAATCAGGAAACAACAGGTGCTGGAGTGGATGTGGAGAAATAGGAACACTTTTACACTGTTGGTGGGACTGTAAACTAGTTCAACCATTGTGGAAGTCAGTGTGGTGATTCCTCAGGGATCTAGAACTAGAAATACTATTTGACCCAGCCATCCCATTACTGGGTATATACCCAAAGGACTATAAATCATGCTGCTATAAAGACACATGCACACGTATGTTTATTGCGGCACTATTCACAATAGCAAAGACTTGGAACCAACCCAAATGTCCAACAATGATAGACTGGATTAAGAAAATGTGGCACATATACACCATGGAATACTATGCAGCCATAAAAATGATGAGTTCATGTCCTTTGTAGGGACACGGATGAAATTGGAAATCATCATTCTCAGCAAACTATCGCAAGAACAAAAAACCAAACACCACGTATTCTCACTTATAGGTGGGAATCGAACAATGAGATCACATGGACACAGGAAGGGGAACATCACACTCTGGGGACTGTTGTGGGGTTGGGGGAGCGGGGAGGGATAGCATTAGGAGATATACCTAATGCTAAATGACGAGTTAATGTGTGCAGCACACCAGCATGGCACATGTATACATATGTAACTAACCTGCACATTGTGCACATGTACCCTAAAACTTAAAGTATAATAATAAAAAAAAACTAAACAAAAAAAAAAAAAGAAAATCTAGAAGAAATGGATAAGTTCCTGGACAAATACACCCTCTAAAGACTAAACCAGGAAGAAGTCAAATCCCTGAATGCAGCAATAACAAGTTCTGAAATTGAGGTACTAATTAATAGGCTACCAACCAAAAAAAGCCCAGGACCAGACAGATTCACAGCTGAATTCTACCAGAGGTACAAAAAGGAGCTGGTACGAATCCTTCTAAAACTATTCCAAACAATAGAAAAAGAGGGACTCCTCCCTAACTCATTTTACGAGGCCAGCATCATCCTGATACAAAAACCTGGTAGAGACACAACAAAAAAACAAAATTTCAGGCCAATATCCCGGATGAACATCAATGCGAATATCCTCAATAAAATACTAAACCGAATCTAGCAGCACATCAAAAAGCTTATCCACTATGATCAAGTCGGCTTCACCCCTGGGATGCAAGGCTAGATCATCATACACAAATCAATAAACGTAATCCATCACATAAACATAACCAATGACAAAAACCACATGATTATCTCAATAGATGCAGAAAAGGCCTTCGATAAAATTCAACACCCCTTCACGATAAAAACACTCAATAAACTAGGTATTGATGGAACATATGTCAAAATAATAAGAGCTATTTATGACAAACCCACAGCCAATATCATACTGAATTGGCAAAACCTGGAAGCATTCCTTTTGAAAACCGGCACAAGACAAAGATATACTATATCACCACTCCTATTCAACATAGTATTGGAATTTCTGGCCAAGGCAATCAGTCAAGAGAAAGAAACAAAGGATATTCAAATAGGAAGAGAGGAAGTCAAATGGTCTGTTTGCAGATGACATGATTGTATATTTAGGAAAACACATTGTCTCTGTCCAAAATCTCCTTAAGCTGATAAGCAAATTTAGCAAAGTCTCAGGATACAAAATCAATGTGCAAAAATCACAAGCATTCCTATACACCAATAATAGACAAACAGAGAGCCAAATCATGAGTGAATGTCATTCATAATTGCTACAAAGAGAATAAAATACGTAGAAATACAAATCCCAAGGGATGTGAAAGACCTCTTCAAGGACAACTACAAACCACGGCTCAAGGAAATAAGAGAGGACACAAACAAATGGAAAAATATTCCGTGCTCATGGATAGGAAGAATCAATATCATAAAAATGGCCATACTGCTCAAAGTAATTTATAGATTCAATGTTATCCCCATCAGGCTACCATTGACTTTCTTCACAGAATTATAAAAAACTACTTCAAATTTCACATGTAACCAAATAAGAGCCCATATAGCCAAGACCATCCTAAGCAAAAAGAACAAAGCTGGAGGCATCACACTACCTGACTTCAAACTATACTACAAGGCTACAGTAACCAAATCAGCATGGTACCAGTGGCAAAACAGATATACAGACCAATGGCACAGATTGGTCTTACACCTTCCTTACACCTTATACACAAATCAACTCAAGACGGATTAAAGATTTAAATGTAAGACCTAAAAGCATAAAAACCATAGAAGAAAACCTAGGCAATACCATTCAGGACATAGGCATAGGCAAAGACTCCATGACTAAAACACCAAAAGCAATGGCAACAAAAGCCAAAATTGACAAATGGAATTTAATTAAACTAAAGAGCTTCTGCACAACAAAAGAAACTATCATCAGAGTGAACAAGCAACCTACAGAATGGGAGAAAATTTTTGCAATCTATCCATCTGACAAAGGCCTAATATCCAGAATCTACAAGGAATTTAAACAAATTTACAAGAAGAAAATGAACAACCCCATCAAAAAGTGGGCAAAGGATATGAACAGACACTTCTCAAAAGAAGACATTTATGCAGCCAACAAACATATGAATAAAAGCTCATCATCACTGGTCATTAGAGAAATGCAAATCAAAACCATAATTAGATACCATCTCACGCCAGTTAGAATGGCGATCATTAAAAAGCCAGGAAACAACAGATGCTAGAGAGGAGGTGGAGAAATAGGAATGCTTTTACACTGTTGGTGGGAGTGTAAATTAGTTCAACCATTGTGGAAGACAGTGGGTCTTCCACTTCCCAAGTTCAAGCATCTCTCCACCAATCAACTACTGTTGGGCAAGATCAGCAGTTTTCCCAGGCATAGCCAGAGTGATGTCCTAGAAAGAGCTCTGACCTGCAAAGCATGGAAGCATGGGACCTGCATTATGGCTCCAATCCCTGCAGCAAACCCACCATGACCACATCTTTAAATTCCCATGGTAAGTTGGGCTGGGTGTTCTCTAAGATTCCTTTCAATACCAAGAACCCATGGATCTGAAATTCAAATTATGGGGAAATGTTGAAAATGAAGAAACAGAAGAAATGTAGCAGTGGTTTCTTTTTATCTGAACAATGAGGCAAATAGCAAACATATTTCCTTATAGGAAGCCGGCCCCTAGAAATAGGGAATGGCAGTTTCCTCCACGGACACAATTATAGGTAGTGAAAAGGGAGAAGAGAGCCCCACTCCTCTGGTTCAACTATGAATCATTTTCAAGGAATAGGCTTGACTCATGACTCAATTTTTACTTTCAATTTCTCTCAAAAATGAAGAACTGAATTTTCAACCTCACTAACCAAGCCCATAATTCCTAAGAATATGATGTTTTAATATAGGATGGTCACTAAAGTGTTATTGAAGATGCTTTAACTGAACATGAACATGCACTTTGAAATAAAATAGGTATGTATAAATGAACCTTGAAGATAACTAAAATAAAGTGTATTTCATCAATATTCCATTGAACACAATTTTATGTAGGGTGTGTTTTCATCTCCTGTAAAGGACCCTAACATTCCATAGAATATTATATTATAGTAGGCACATTTGGCAATGATGACAGTGTACTGTATTTTTCTTGTAACTACATCTCCGATGAAGTCACTGCAGTCATGACAAACTCCAGTCCCACTGGAATGAGGTTCAGAGAACGGACTAAGAGGTAGGACATGGTCTAAGGGAAAGGGTTCTATTATCTGTCAAAACCAGGTAAAAAGGGAAGGTTTCTAGTTCTTTGAAGGCTAAACGATTAGGTTCTGATGGCTTTTAAATGTTGATCATTTATTATTAATATGAAAGATCATTTTAAAATGTATTATCTTCTTGTCTTCTCACTTTTGTGAACACAATTGTACATGCTAGAATTTAGCAGATTCAGGACACTGTTAAGGAATGTGGAGTTGTTTGCCATACAAGAAGTACTTCTAGATTGCTGTGCTGTTCTAAATGACATTTTTCCTTTCTCCCCATGAGGCCCATTGCCAATCTCCTTTGCCTGTTGGTCAGTGGACCATTGGCAGTAGATCTAATTCTTGCCAGCTTTCTAGTGCATCTTTTACATGGTCTCATGTTTGCTCTTCTGCTTCTTAACACTGTCTTCTTCTTGCTTTCCTTTGATCTCTTTCTTCCTGCCTCCTTACTTCGCTGCCCTGTTCTTACAGCCTAGGCTAACCAACGAGAATTCTCATTTTCTGTGGTTGGCAAACCAATCACTTATAGCATGTTTGTTTTTTTAAAAAAAAAAAACAAAACGATTTCTTACTTCTTCATGTTTACAATTCTTTTCTGCATTACGATTGGAAGATATCACTGCTCAGGCTCAGAAATTCTCAGGTATTTCTAAGTTAGCAACTTCCCCAGAAGGTAAGAGGTGAGAGCCTGAAGAATAAATAGGTGGACATGATTAAACATCTCTTGTCTCTAACATAGATTAGCTGTAATAATCCAAGTGAAAATCTGGGCTTCTGAAGAATAATTAGCATAGAATAAAGAATTGAGGGTTTAACTTTCTGTAAAGAACCTGGACAATCTTAAGAGAAACACGATTTATGCTTCACTATATAATCATCTATATTTCATAAACAAATAACAATTGTAAGTTTTATTTTTGCTCTTTTTATTGGTTTCTTTTTTAAAAAAAGATAGATGTTATCCTAGTTACCAGTATAAGGCTCATTTGTACCAATAAATACTCTCAATTATATGTTTGAAAGTCAGAGTTCTAGCTGAGACTTTATTCACATCCCTTTGTTATTTTATTTGTTGCCTAAGTTGCTGTGTGTGTAATGTTAAAACTTACTGGGAATTAGTGTAATAATGAAGAGAAAACTGATATGTTCTGTAGGATAAAATGAATGCCATGATCATTCACATTCCTTAATGGTGCTTAATCTAATCAAAGTCCAAGCCAAAAAGCAAATACATAAAACTATTAATAATGCAACTGAGTTTACACCAGAAACAAAATATGTTATTCATATAATACAGCAAATTACAGAGAAAGAGTAAATTTTCTTTTCACATATACAAAACTTCATATTTGGTTGCTTCTTTTCTTTCTTTCTTTTTTGTTTACCTAGAACCCAAAAGCTTTTGTCTAACAGTTCAGATCACATTCTTTTGAATGGAAAGGAATTTATGTCATTTAATGGAGTCAAGAAAGACAATTATTCACATTTTAAAGATATAGAACACTAAAATTTTCAAAAACTCACAAGCCTTAAGAATTAAATTTGGCCTTTTGGCAGAGATTCACCTACCCAGATCCCCTGAATCATATGCATAACGCAGTGAAAATTTTATGGACTTCATAGTCAAAAAATACTCCCTTTAAATCCAACTTCTGTGGCTCACCAGCATGCAACTTTGGACAAGTTACTTTATCTTTCTGAAGATCTGTATTTTTTTATATGTAAAATAAAATACTACCAATTTTGTGGAGCTTGAAAATAAGAGACATGGTACAGCACAAAGAAGGTACACAATAAATTGTAAAAATTGCCCTTATTTTTAAAAAGAGTGCTCTGGTAAGCAGAAAAAATAACTAAATTGGGGTCATGTGTCTACTAGTGCTTCCCAAACCGTAATGTACATAGAAATTACCTGAGTTCTTCTTAAAATGCAAGCTCTGATTCAGTAGATCTAGGTGAACCCTGAGATTGTGCATTTCTAATAAGCTCCTAGGAGATTCTAATGCTGCTGGTCTATGGATCATACTTTGAGTAGCAAGACTCACTAAGAAGCTAGACTCTAAGAATCATTGCAATGTCACTGATTCACAAAAGGCAGAAGTTTCTCAAAGGAAGATTTCACACATCGAGGTATCAACAGGAAAAAGAAAACAGAAAAATTGGTACTTTGCATAAGCCAATTAACCTCTCTTGGTTTCAAGGAAGGCAGGGGTTTGCCTAAAGTTCCTTTCTGTTAAAAAGTTTTATGTTTCCATAGAGCTTGTAACCATACTTTTCTCAATTTCAAGTTTTCCGATCACCTGAAAGGGGAAACTGATTATTTGTAAGGGGAAACTGTATAGAATTCCTTGCAGATATTTAACCTCAGTGAACAGAAAATCTCTCCTTATTTTGGAAGAAGATAAAGAAACTATACAAAAGATGATCAAAACTAATCAGATTTATCACTGGATGGGAATCCTTGGTAGATATCTTTGAAATTAGTGAGAATTTTTTAGCATTTTCCTAATAAGATGCCTTATTAATAGGAAACATGCAGGGATCACCAAATATTAACTCCATCCCATTTCTGATGAGGAGGCTGAGGTCTGGGGGAGACTCATACTTTGTCCACACTCACTAGAAGCTTCCAAGCAAAGACAAAGATTCAGTTCTCCTAAGCCCCATTTAAGCTGCCTCCGAAGTTTTGAATACTTCTTTTCTGATATGAAATCCTCATTATGTTATTAATTAAGCCATCATTAATTGCCAAAGAGGTAATATGTAATCTAGAACCAAAACCAAGCTGGGATATAAGTAGAAGACAGATGTGCCCTGACATAGTGGATGATATTTACTCAGTTTCCGATGGTCCCAGAGATTTAGTCTAAGATGCAACAAGCCAAAAAATGTAGCCTTCTTCCTCTGCCAGAATTTATAGTCAAATGCTTAAAGTTTCCATTAAGCCCATGACATTTCATCATCTTCTCAACAGACCTGTAGTTATTCCAATTGAAATAAAGAAAAACTCAGTGTTCTGGGAGACCACCTCCTGTAGGCCTGGCTCAAGAGCTCAATTTCTTAGTCTGACCTTGAAAACTAAGACAAGCATCATCAAGACTGCTGAGGTTTCGTCAAATTCCTACCATGCAAAGACCATGATGCTCTGGTTTAAAAGCTGAAAATAGCATCCTTTCGGTGGCACAGCTAAACCCTGCAACTGATTTTATGGTAGTAAAACTTCAGGGAAGCTTTCAAAGTTTTTCTGATCTGATTGGCAGTGCATTTCTCTAAGTCTACCATGACTTCCAGAACAAGTTGGCGGTCCATCTCCAGTTAGTCTAAAAAAGTCACAGCTCATGACCTCTATGATCAGAGACCTAGAAGACACAATTGTACAAACCTCCATCTTGACCATCATGTGAAAGAAGATGGTTGTTCTTCTGAAGGGTACACAATGTGAAACATGACTGGCAAGTTTTCTCCATAAACAGAGCAAATCTCTTCCCTCACAGAGCTGCCTTTATTTGAGCAAGACATTTGCAAAGCTTAGAGTCTCCTTGAATCTATTAGAAACCCTTCCCTGAGTGAGGAAACAGACATTGTAAATGAACCATGACTCAGAAACCCCCTTGTACCAGAAAATATCCTACAGATTCCAGAGGCATTTTATGTTCTATTTTCCTGACATACTAGTTCTAACTATCTGATTCATTTATTTTTTTGTTTAATGCTTTAACCAGTTTCTGCAGATTATTACAGTCAAACAAGTGATTTCTTTCAGGGTTAGTTTTTTTTTCTCCTTCTGACTTTGGAAGGGTTTCAGATTCAGTTGAAGGAAAGACTCTGTTATATACTACAGAAACACTCAACACCATATATTCAGCTTAACTACAATAAGAAAAGCCAGACCCAGATGTCCCAAGCTAAATCGAGGGAAAAGAGGAAAATTAAAATTTAGTGTTCATTTGCAGAAACCCCCCCCCACTTGCATGTGCCTCAGATAACCAGTTGGAATCAACGAAAATTTATAAGCTTACAGAATAAAAATCTAATTCTCCTGTCTCAGAGGACCTTGGAGCACTTTCAATTTTTTATGTACTACACAGATGACTTCAGTGGCACCAGATCACTTATCAATTAAGAGAGAAGAAATGTGCATGTCCATGCTCTTTGCACGAGAAAACGGAGCTATGATTAACAATCTCAAGTTGTCCATACACTTGATCTGCATTTAACATGCAGGCATTCTCTCAAATTCTATCCAGATATGGTCATAGTTGTTGATACAAATCAAAAATTTTAAAAAGATCTGAGCTTTAATTCAGAAATTCCATTTACAGAAATAAGATTATGCAAGAAAATGTATCTAATAAAGAGACAACTCTATGTAACATTTGTTGATTATGAATTAGGCCCTGTACTAAAACTTTATATCTAGTGTCTTCGAGTCACCCTATGAGGTATGTCCGACCACTATATTACTTTACAGCTGAGGAAACAAAGGTTTAGAAAAGGCATTTTGATTGGTCAAACAGTAAGCGATAGAGCATATTTAAAAGCCCACATTCTTAGCCACTTTATTTTGCTGTGTCTGAGTGTTAGAGCATTATTTATAATAATGAAAAATCTAAGCAATCAAATGTCCAACAATAGAAGCTTTGAGAAAATAAACACAATGGAATTCAGTGCAGCCATATGTTGAAGAAGAATAGTATTCTACAACATGGGAAAATGTTTGCAACACAGTGAGTGAAAAAGTAAAGCAATTTTTCAAAGCAGATAGCATAGAGCCTTTTGGTAACAGGATCTATACAGAAGGAAAAAAAGATGAAAAGATAACACATGGATAATGTGGAAGGTGGTTATCTCTGAGGGTGAGCCTGTGTATTATAGTTTTCTTTGCTATGTTTTGTATTTTAACAATATTCTACAATAAACACTGCAGAAATACTTTTCTATCTGAAAAATTAATGAACAAAATGGCAGCCATTATCTAGTAAAAATCCCCCCAACAGTTCTCCCTACACGAAAATATAATTTTGGCTGAGTTTGCTCCATCCATTGTAACACAGATTTCTTTTTGCAAAAAGCCTATGTGAAAACTTCAGCTAAAAAATTTTAATAATATTTTAAGAAAGAAGTCATTAGCATTTTCCCAATGATTCTGTCAGGTAAGTACATGCTCCTTTGGGAGACCCTAGTGACACAGTTCAGTGGGAAAGTCATTTAATATCTTGAGGCACAATCTAAGCTAAAAGTTACAGCACAACTTCAAGACGGTGGACACTCAGGCAGGGAAAAGGAACCTCTGATGCTCAGGCATGTCACCAGGAGATTGGCAAATGGCATCGCTGTGCTCATAGGAGACACCTGGAGCATCCAAACATGGTGGTGAATTAATGTTTGCCTTCCATCCTTCTCAGTTCACTCAACCTGAAAAGTGTTTTTCACCTTTTGAAATCCGTCTGATTTAAAGTCAATGAATAGTTTTCTGCACTAATAGCATGAAACATATGAGAACCAGTTTATAGCAGTCACAAATTTAGTAATTGCTGAAGTAAAAGGGCTAGAAGAGTAATTGCAGTTAATATGAGATTAATTGAGCTGCACGTGGAGCAGAGAAGATTGTGCAAGACAGTCTTCAGAATCCTTCTTCCAAATGCAAAATCATAAAATGTTGGTATCACTTAGGCATCCAGTTAGTAACATAAGGCTAACAGAGAATGTAGGAGGAAGAGACTGCATTTAATGAATGCCTACTATGTGCCAGATATTGTATGTATACACGTTAAATCTTTGTGACAACCCTATTAGGTAGAAATTAATCAACCCCCAATTTACAAATGAGGACATTGAAAACCAGAGAAATCTACATTCAGAGCCTATATTCTTTCTACTAGATTACTTTTTTTCAATAACAAGCATGGATATATAACAGAGAGCTTCTCAAGGTATGAATTCTTTTTTAAAGCCTCTTCGAGCTTTTTATAATTATTGGTATTCCCTTTCCCTCACATGTCACAGAAATACTAATATGTAAACTTTTTAGTATTTCCAATTCATTTTTTAGTAAAAATTATGATGTTTAAATGCATATATTATCATTTAAAGTCACAGAGCTATGCTAGTCTCTGTATTCTTTATCAAGTGCTGTTATTTTTAGCTCTTAATGTAGTATAATAGCTTTGTATTTTGTTAAGGTAAAGGATTTGCACTTCATTTAGGTGAGTCTAGGTAGCTAATTATGTCAAAGAATGAGGTTTTGAGTATACTATAGGCCGATATTTTCACACAAATTAATTCTTGGTCTAAAATAAAAGGAAACCTCTTCAGCTATTCAAAAGGAAGTCATTGTCCTTACTGACTATAAATAATAATAGGGCTTTATCTTGTCCATTTGGTTATTAAAAAGAAGATGAACTTGTGTTGACCAAAGAACTGGTGAACTTGATGTGGTGAAGCTAATGGAAATCTCCACTCAGATGTGAGTTATGTCCAGGTCTAAGTTTTTTGCAGCAATCTCTTGTACAGAAGATGGAATCACGAGGGAGAGAATATTTATTAAAATAAAAAGCATCCCATCACAGAGAGGAGTTGAGAGATTATTGCTATCTTTTCTATCATTGTAACTCCTTTTCAGGACAAAATATGTGTGTATGAAAGATAGCTAAGTGGTAACTAGAGACAGAAATAAATTAATGAAGTGGTGAGTTCAATTGTGTCTCCTCAAATTCATATGTTGAAATCCTAACCTCTAATACCTCAGAATGTGGTCATAAGGAGGTAGTCTTTAAAGTGATAATTAAGTTAAAATGAAGTCACTAAGGTAGGCTCTAGTCCAATATGACTGGTATCCCTATAAGAAGAGGAGATTAGAACACAGTCAATGCATGGGCACAGAGAAAAGGCCATGTCCTGGTGGCAGGTGCCTGTAGTCCCAGCTACTTGGGAGGCTGAGGCAGAAGAATCGCTTGAACCCGAGAGGCAGAAGTTGCTGTGAGCCAACATCACACCACTTCACTCCAGCCTAGGCAACACAGCGAGAAGAAACCAACCTTGATCTTGGACTTCCAGACTTCAGAACTTCAACAAAATAAATGTCTGTTGTTTAAGCCAGTGGTCCCCAACCTTTTGTAAACCAGGGACCTGTTTCATGGAAGACAATTTTTTCATGGACTGTGGGGGGTTGGTTTTGGGATGAAACTTCCACCTCAGATCATCAGGCATTAGATTCTCATAAAGAGCCTAGATCCTTCACATGCGCAGTTCACAATAGGGTTCACTTGCCTATGAGAATCGAATGCTGTCAGTCATCTGACAGAGGTGGAGCTTAGGCAGCAGTGCTCACCTGACAGCTGCTCACCTTCTGCTATGCGGCCCAGTTCCTAACAGGCCTAATAACAGGCCGTGGACCGGTACTGCAGGATTGCAGACCCCTGCTTTAAGCTACTCAGTCTATGGTATTTTGTTATGACAGCCCTAGCAAATGAATATATAAATCTTAAAATTTGTTGGAAAAGAATATGCTCATGAGGTCATACACACTCTATTGTACCTTTTTTCTACTTGCAAAATATCTTTTACCTCAAATTATTTTTTGTAAACAAAACTCTTAAGGCTATTATCTACTTTTTCAGACCAACAAACTAAAAGAATGAGAGCTTTTGTGGTAAAAGGGATTGGAATCAAAGGTCAATGCCCTTGGTCTGGGTTTTCACCCTGACATCACCTGGAAGTCTCTGTGCTAGGCACTGGGAAGGGAAAAAAATAAAAGAAAGGTGCAAAGAAAATGAAAAGAGACTCTGTCTTCAAGAAGCTCATAGTCTAGAGAAGGAGCCAGACACTTGGATACTAGAAAACAAAGCCAAAAATATATGAATGTGGTATAACCAAAGAGCCACAGGAACAATAGGCAGAATATAATTAATTTTAGCTAAGGATATACAAAAGATATCATGAGTGTCAGTTGAAATGAGAGACTGGAGTCAACTCTAAACTTCCTTGTCAATATAAAATGCTGTGGTAACAGCCAGAATGAAAACTCAGAATACTTGATCAGATATGCTGTATATAAGCTTTTCCTGTCATTCCAGCTATAGGATCCCCAAACTGCTGGACAATTCAATCAAGCTTCCTATTAAACCACTGTGTATAGGTGTTACGTGTGTGGGTGTGTATCTGTCTGTCTTAGGGTTGGTGTAGAGAAGATTCACTTTTTTAATTAAATAATTTTGCAGTATAAAGAATAGATTACATTGACTCAGATTCAGTCTAAGCAGTGAATGTAACCTCAGATGCAAGCTGCAAAATGGAAGGAATGTATCTATCTTATTCTCCATCACAAGCTCAGAGACTAGCATGCTATCTGACCCATAGCACATGTTCAACAAATATTTGTTGCCTGAATGTTGCATGGATGAGTAAACATATTTTCTACCAGATGAGATGTAAAGTTTATAGGGAGAAAACATCTTGAAAATTCGGCTCTAGAAATATCCTAACTCATACATGTCCAGTAGCTAGATGTAGTAACAGGTTTAATGGGTTTAACATGAAAAGATTTTAGTTCCAGGCCCTTCCACACTTAATAGTTGCATACCTTATACTGTGTCACTAATCCCTCTTAGTCTCCATGTCATTATTGGCCAAATAGAGTCAATGATATTACCACTTCTCTACGTCAGTGTATTGTTGTGAAGATCAAATAAGATATTGTGCATAAAAAATCCTCAACAACAAAGCAAGAGGAATGGCATAAATGCAGAATCAGGTAGTCTCTGTGTTGCAGAGTCCCACTGTCTCTCCTACAGCTGAAAGTTCAAAGATATAGCTTGACTTGTACTTTGCAGAAGGGCACTTAACTCTAAAAGAAGAAAATAAACTTTGAAAAATGATTAAGAATGGCGTGAGTTTAGAGAAGTTAGAAGTAGAATGTTCATTGATGCCTTCCCTGGTAAGATTCTACTTTGAACAGTAAGTCTATTCCATTCATAGAACTAGCTAAAGGTAATTTGTTTTTCAATAAATCCTCATTTCCAATATTCTGGATGGCCTCTGGCAGAAAATGTTATATAGCTATAAAATGCAATCTTTCATCAGGGCCATTTTAAGACTTTTGCCTGTCCTAGCTACTTAATTTTGGAAGCTGCATCCTATGTTATATCAAAAATTAAAATGTAACCACACTCTATATTTAACATAATTAAAACACAACTCTAGATGATTTGAATTATACTGGACTGGATGACATAGTACTACATTAATAAACATTTATTAATTGTGATTTTATCATTTTCATTCATATTTTTAAGCCAGTAATTTTTTTCAAGTAATTTTTTAGGCCCTTGGAAAACTAATAGCTCTCAGGTTCTAGGCTTACAGTGGTAACAGATAAAACAATTCCTGTATTTCATAATTGTCTAATTAGTTACTTTGTATAATTGCACTGGATTTTGAATAAGGAGAAAAAGGCCTCCCGCACTATTTCCTAGTAATCTGTGTCCACAAGTCTATTTTCCCTACCTGCTATGTTTGCCTAAGACTGGTCATTTGTTACCTGCTAGTTCCAATTGATTTCCTTTGCCTTTGCCTCCTTTAGCCATGAGTGCAAAGAACAGACCATACGATTTATACCAGCCATCTAGTACCAATCATTAGATAACAAGACCCTTTACTGAAAGCATTTAGAGTAAAACAATACTTTAGGTTTACCTTTGCTTTCATTTCCTTCTTTATTACACTAGGTTCAAAGTGAGGCCAAAAATGGTATCACAAGGCCTATTTAGACATCCAAGCAAAGAATGCCAAGTCATTCTAAATAAATCCCCCAGCTGCAGTAGAATTTTACACATTTTCAAGTGCAAGTTTCTAATAACATTTTTGGGCTTGTTTTTCCCCTTGTCTGTTTCAGTCACTGTCTTTATATATAAGGGGAAATGAGTCATATTAAATTATGCTCCAGCAAATGTCCTATAAAGACATATCTAAGCCATCCTGTTTGCTAATAAAAAGATAAGATTTGTCCTCTGAAAGAAGCAAGGTTGAACTATGCCAAAGAGCTTACAGCCAGAGTTAGACAAACCCAAAGTCATTAGCTGGTGGGGAAATCTGAACTTGTGGCCTTTCTTCAAGTGGGAGGAGTAGGAAGGGAGTAGCAGGGACCTGTCAGCCTTGGAAACTCAAGCTTGTGGCGAGAGGCTGGGAACTTCCTGTGGTTACTAAGAGGCTGCGATACCTTGCATAGATGTCCTGATAATTGTTTTCTAAAGTTGGCACTGCCTACTGGCTTACCGTTGCTAGTAGAACATTATCAAAACCGGGGTCTTCCAGAATTATAGGTCTCTAAGACCTACATAGAAGAAATAAAGGTCCCTTGACCTGTTGCCAAATGGTACCACAAGAAAAAAAAGCCCTTATTTCAAACTTTGAGCTCAAGTTAACTTCCCTACTTTGTAATTCCCTGATGGATTCCCTGATTTACTCACCTGATTAGATTCAAAGTCGCACAGACTAATTTCAATATTTTCCATGGTAAATACAATTAGGTAGACTGGTCTGCCACAAATCCTAAAGCCAAATACACACGGTTGTGAGATTTTTAGATTCTCCTGTTTGGGGTTCTCAATTCAGTAGCATGAATTAGTACTTACATATAGAAATGGCTAAGAGCATCCAGCATACCAGGTAAATGAGGTGTAAGGCAACACGAGATGGCACAGACCAAGGGGTTAGGAGAGGCCATGCTCCATCTAAAGGAGGGAGCTGCTATCAGGTATGGCTGAGTGTTGCCATGGAGAAAACTGGTTTGATATGGCCACATAATCTGATACTTCAAGATAAATCAGAAATTTGGATTTTGGGGTGAGGTTTTTCACCTTTTTTTTTTTCACATTGTGTTAGCCAAACTACATGTGTCTACAAACTGACTGTAGGCCAGAGAGACAACAGTTCGAGACCTAGTATGAATCTTGTTTAATTCTCTCCCTTTGTCATGAAGAAAAGTGATAGTTCCACTGTCATTTTTGTGATAGTACTACTGTCTTTTTTTTTTTTAGACAGAGTCTTGCTCTGTCACCCAGGCTGGAGTGCAGTGGCACTATCTTGGCTCGCCACAACCTCTGCCTCCCAGGTTCAGGTGATTCTCCTGCCTCAGCCTCCTGAGTAGCTGGGATTACAGGGGTGCACCATCACACTCGGCTACTTTTGTATTTTTGGTAGAGACAGGGTTTCACCATGTTGGCCAGGCTGGTCTCGAACTCCTGACCCCAGATGATCCACTGGCCTCAGCCTCTCAAAGTGCTGGGATTATAGGCGTGAGCCACTGTGCCGGGCTGTCATTTTTTTCTTCTCATTATTTAGCCTTAGCTGATCTCAAAGACTTATGAAACAGTAAAGCAGATGTCAATGTCTCCCTCTCTAACACACAAACAGACATATACTTTCTTCATTAAAAATTACAGAAAACATTTAAAATATGAAGGTTCATCATGTGGATAAATTATTTCAACCTCATAGAACACAAAAAGCCCTGTTAGGCTATACATCTATTTCATTCTTCTTCTTTACTATTGAATTTTAAAATGTGTGCACAGTGAGGTGACCCTTATATCAAAGACTACAAACAGTGCTTAAAGATATGCAGCACCTTTTTAAAGAAACACACCTTCTTATAAGCACAGTTAAAAGGGAAAAGGTTAAAGGCTACAGTAGATTGTTCTATTCTGTGCCAAGATTCTGCTCCAGCTGCAACTAAATAGTGGTTCTCAGGCTTAATTAAATAAAGACCCGTGTAAATTCTAACTGTTTACTATGTGATTAGAACTTCTCTGGGCAAAAAGCTCATATTTGATTTCCTTGCTGTCTGCACTTGCCCAAACCCTTTACCCACCAGGTATGTACTGAAGCTGTGTAAACTCAACATTTTTCTTTTGGAATCAAGGGTAAGATATAAAAGTTTATAGAAACGGTGAGACCCAATTGTGGAAAATTCATTTTATGTAAATGGAAAAAAAGTATTCTATATATTAGAACCAATGTTGTCATGATGAAATTTCTTTGACTAGGCCGGGCATGGTGACTCACACCTGTAATCACAGCACTTTGGGAGGCCAAGGCGGGTGGATCACTTGAGGTCAGGAGTTTGAAACCAGTCTGCCAACATGGTGAAACCTCATCTCTACTAAAACTACAAAAATGTGCTGGGTGTGGTGGGGCACACTTGTAATCCCAGCTATTCGGGAGGCTGAGGCAGGAGAATTGCTCAAACTCAGGAGGCAGAGGTTGCAGTGAGCAGAGATCACGCCATTGCACTCCAGCCTGGGCAACAACAGCGAAACTCGAAAGAAGGAAAGAAAAGAAAGACAGACAGACAGAATGAAAGAAAGAAAAGAAAGACAAACAGACAGACAGAATGAAAGAAAGAAAAGAAAGAAAGAGGAAGGAAGGAAGGAAGGAAAAAAGGAAGGAAGGGAGGGAAGGAGGGAGGGAGGGAAGGAGAAAAGAAAGAAAGAGAAAGAGAAAGAAAGAAAGAAAGAAAGAAAGAAAGAAAGAAAGAAAGAAAGAAAGAGAAAGAAAGAAAAGAAAGAAAGAAAATTTCTTTCAATAACATTGAGAGCAGTAGTTTTTAACCTTTGTGAAAAATCATCTAGAGTGCTTGTTAAAAATGCAAATACACAGGGCTTGTCCCCAGAGATTTACTGTGACTGTAGGGTGAGACCTTTCAAATGTTTGAACGCAGGAGATTCAAAGATCACATTTGGAGAAGCACCTATCTAGAGAAAAATCCTACTTCCAAGTTTAACGTTGGAGAGCTGTTATCTGAATTCATCTGGGAAAAAAAAGGGTTTATTCTTAATAATGGGGAGGTGGCAGAAATTGCCTCTTTAATTTTACCCATTCTCCAAGTGTCAAAACGTAATTGATAATTAAGATTATGTTCCCTTTAATATTTTTCAAATTTAGTTTATTTAGATAATGAATACCACATGTCCTTCAATAATTTTAAAATTCAGTTAATTTAAAAATTGTATAAATAGATTCTGAGATACTAAACAAATATACAGTCAAATTTTTTATGTTTTCATTTGAACATTCTGGGGAAAATAAGCATACTTTAGAAGCAAGCACATATAAATGCATAATTCAGTTAGGTTTTTTGTTTTAATTTGTCCTTGGCATTGATGAAAAACAAATTAGCTACTCTCCTTGGGTGCCTACCAGAAATAATAGTAACAAGTTGAGCTTTTTTCCTCCTCAGTAATATGTTCCTTTGTAGATAAGCACAGTGGAGAGGTAAAATGATGTATAAAAAGTTTACTGTTTTTTTTTTGTTTTGTTCTAAGATGTAAATGATAGGGGAAGGACTGGGAGCTATTTCAGAAATATTTATTCCATTGAGACAATGAATTTTGGTCATTAGAAGAAAGAATCATGGACTATCAAAATGAAACAAAAAGACAGCAGATTTATTTCTATAGCAAGTGTCTGTACATAAAGAGCAGGCACACCTCACAACATTGTACATTTATTGTCTTACAAAATGAACTGGGGTTGAGGTAGATGTAGTAAGGAAAAAGCTTTAATGATGTGAGGCAAATTTTTAAGAGAGGAGATGTTTTTATTTTTAAAGAATTCAATAAATATAATGATAGTGTTAAATGTTTTTGTTGTTTTTTCTCTCAAAACTATTTGAACCACTTATTAATCTCCAGTCTGTTTCATCAATCTTTTATGATGTGTTACAAGGAGTTTCTCAAATTTAAACTTCATTACATCATTTTATAGTTATAAACCCTGACCACTATAATTCTTGGTCCTAACTAGGCTATGAAAAGAGGAATGTATTCATTAGGCTAGTACAGTATGGGAAGCCTGTAGTTTAACCAAGGTTAAAACAAATAAGATGCCAAAGTTCACAATTTTAAATAAACTCAAGAACCTGAAAAAGATAATTTAAAAACAACATAGTGCATTTCTATAGTTTGTCATTATTTCATCTCTTATGGAAATATGCAGCAATGATGGTCTTTTTCTATATCTAGAAAAAATACATAAGTGATTTTTAACAGTAAGAAGTTATTTGTGTTTGGATTTCCTTCGCCACAGCTTCCTTAACTAGCTCCTGGGTAGAATTCATTAATTTTTATTAACAGGGAAAACATTTGTTCCCGTGACAATATTTGCATTGCCTGAATGATTTTCACCTCTGCCACAAGGTGTACTATCGGCTCATACATCACCCGATTACTTGGAGAGCAGAAAGACCCTCAGTCATTAGTGAGTGAATTAAAGATGATCTTAAGAGCTATTAATCACAGTGACAAAAGCCTTAATGTTTCTGTGACCCTAGTGGAGCCTGGGGACCCAAAGGGAAGCAGAGGGAGAGAAAATGGAAACATATGTTTTCTCCAAAATAACCTACCTTAGGAGAACTGTCAAAAAGAGAGTCACATCAAACTAAGAAATTCTGCCAGCAACTGGCCTCTGGATTATGTGTCTATTTATCTTCTTGTGAACTCATATTTCCTTTTAAAATATATATTTTCTTGCTGTAGACAATTAGAGGGCCAAAACTAGTGTCTTCTGTATCTTTGATTTCTTAATTCCGTTTATTTAGAACGACTTGTGCTTCTGCTAAACTGCATTTCTTGAAAAAATTCAACATAAATTGCATTCAGTCTAATAACCACATAAATCAGTATAAAAACAAGCAGACAATAGCAGTAAAGTGCCATTATAAACATTAATTCAAGCAGATACAATATTCCAATAATGGACCAAAACGGTAACATTATTAAGCACTACAGTCGGTTACAAAACTTGATCATTCTTCAATGTATCTGGCTGTATTTCCCTGGATGTTTACAAGATTATAATGGCATCAACTCCACTGTTAATAACATAGGCACTTGCTGGAATTTCAATTATCTTTCACAATATGTTGACATAAAAAACAGACTACAACTGGCTATTTCTGAATATGGTAAGAAGATCCATATCCCCTTATTTGTATGCACGTCTTTGTTTACATAGCTGAGGAAGAAATATCACATTGTGCTTATGTTTTGCAATTGGTTCTGAGTCTATGACGCAAAAAAAAAAGGGAAATTCTGGCTAAATCGCTTTTTTTTTTTTTTTTTTTTTTGAGACAGAGTTTCGCTCTTGTTGCCCAGGCTGGAATACAATGGCGCAATCTCCGCTCACCACAACCTCCGCCTCCCAGGTTCAAGCGATTCCCCTGCCTCAGCCTCCCAACTAGTTAGTATTACGGGCATGCGCCACCACGCCTGGCTAATTTTGTATTTTCATTAGAGACGGGGTTTCTCTGTGCTGGTCAGGCTGGTCTCAAACTCCCGACCTCAGGTGATCTGCCTGCTTCAGCCTCCCAAATTGCTGGGATAACAGGTGTGAGGCACCGTGCCTGGCCCTAAATGGCTTTTCTACACGTCAGTTTCTTCAATACGATTTGGATTAGCAAAATTAATGGTGAAATTATAGTTTTCTCTTTTGACATTGATACTATGTTGCCAAATAAAAAATCCTTTTTTTCAATCACTTTTCAGTGCCTAATACAGTAACTAACACATAATTAGGGCTCAAAAACTATGTGTTAGACTGACTGAATTGGATAAATATTCAATGTTATTTATATTGAAAAACAAATATGACTCTGGATTAAGAATATTAAAAATTTTTGGAAATTTTTTATTCTCAATAAGTTTTTATGTTTTGACTAAAGAGTCCAAGTCAATACAACTGAAAATACTTGAGCTTGAACGACATAACAGGATTATTTTATTCATTAGAAAAAATATATTTTAAGGGTAATTTTCTTTCTGGAATCATAGAGAATAAAAGAGAAAAAATTATGAAGAAGTTATTTTGCTACGGCTAAAAATAATTTCAGAGTACTTTAAAAGTCTCGTGAGTAAAATAAAATCTTTTATGAACCAATTAGAGTTTTGTATTTGACTTTATGATTCACACAGCTCTGTAACTAGATTTCATTATTTTCTCCATCTCCCAGATAAGGAAACCAAGGCTTACAATATTAAACTAATATTCTCCACTGTCATAAATCTAATTGGGGGTGGACAATGCCAGATTTTCTGGCTTCAAATCCAGTTAACTTGCCATTGAACTAAGCTGTGTCCCAAATACTTTGAAATGCAAGGAAAATGTATTGGTTAACTAAAATCAATCTATTAAATTGGGTCTCAGATAAAGCCTAGTTTCTATACAGGAAGGTTTATTGTTAAACGTATAGGAGACATTCAAATATTAACTTTTTTGCAATTATTAGTCATAAGAAGAGAAAAGTTTAAGGAACTCAAACCGGATCCCATGATAGAATCTCCAAGATTAGTTAACATAATATTCACAAAAGCACCTTCTTTGATAACCACAGAGATTCAAATTATAACTCTCTCCATTTAACAGAGTCAAACTTTTTGGAATGTAATTCTTGGAGACAAAAACCTTCTTTATATATTTCCCTCTTGTCCACCTGTAACACCCAGCAAATAGGGGTAAAGCTATTCTTGAGTTAAAGAAAAATGAAAAGCGTAGATTTATAGAGAAACGTGTTTTCATATGGCATTTTTCCTTCTCTCCAGGTGCTAAAGGGGGTCTCAGAGTAGAGTTCAACACTTAGATTAGAACTTTTTCCTTAAAAGCAATTAGAAAGTTATTTTTGAATGGCTAGACCAGACTTCCTAAACTTTTAGCAGAGCCTAATTGCAATGTCATATATAGAGTGACAAGAAATGCATAAAAATCTCATCCTCCTAAAATGTATCAAGGGATGTTTTATTATTCAATGGCTCCAGGAAAGTATACGACACAACCATGAGCCAAACACTAGTTTTAGCACTCTACGTATATTAGCTCATTTAATCCTCATAATAGCCCATGAGGTAGATATGACTCTCATCCCCATTTTATATGTAAGGAAATTGAAGCAGTAATATTAGGAAAAAGAATAAATGATTTTTAAACAGCCATAATTCAAACCCTGATTGTCTAGCTCTAGAGCCCACGCGCTTTATCCCTAAACTATACACCTTCTCACTCTGGGCTTCACCCAGTAATAGCTGCCCAATTACAGGATAACAATAAGAACATTTTGCTTGTTTTTTTTTTAAAGATTATTCAATCCTAAATCATAAGTATTCAAGTTTCTGAGTCAAAATTTGACATTCAAACATTCTTAATTGCACCAGCAGACCCTGAGACAATGGTTCAAGAGTCCGTAGTTTATTTCAGAGGTGGTCCCAGGAAACGTGTGTTAAGGGAGTATGCAGTGAGACAGAGAAGGGCCAGAAGTCAACAAAGGGTGTGCTATCAATCGAGTTAGCACTAGGGAACTCTAGATCAGCACAGCTGAGGTGAGGGATCTGGGGTTTTATCCACCGATTCCCATCAGTCATTTGTTGAGAGCTTATCCCAGGGGATGTAATTCCTCACACTTCTGACCTGCCCCATGCTCTGGCCGGGCAGTCTCAGGCAAAGCATTTGGAAGTCACGTGAATATGCACAGAAATGGTGAAGGGATATGGATGGGGTACTGGCTGGCCATAGAGATGGCCACAGCCAGCACGTGAAGAAATGTTTCAGGTACTATCGGGTTTTCTTGTTCCAATATGCAGTGTTCGATCCAATCATTTAAAACCATGTGTGTTTGGCAAATAAAACAACTTTTTATTAATCTTCTGTCCATAGTATTTATTAATTCATTATTTTCAACCAAAATTTACTGTAATTGTGAATCTAGGTTGGGTGCTGGGGGCAAAGATTAAAACATAAATTAAAAACAATCTCAAGCAAGACCTACAAATTACTACCCACAAAAGCAAAGACTGATAAAACAGGCTACATTAAAATAAGACCTTCTGTTCATTTAGAGATAGCATAAGGAAAGAAAAGACAAGCTAGGAAAGATATTTAAAAATATATATAATTAACTAAGGATTAGTATCCAGAATATTAATATTATTAATATTATTTAATATTAATATAGTTAATATATTATTAACTAAAGATTAGTATCCAGAATATATTAGTATCCAGAATACTTCTAAAATAAAACAGACTACATTAAAATAAGACCTTCTGTTCATTTAGAGATAGCATAAGGAAAGAAAATACAAACTAGGAAAGATATTTAAAAATATACATAATTAACTAAGGATTAGTATCCAGAATATTAATATTATTAATATTATTTAATATTAATATAGTTAATATATTATTAACTAAATATTAGTATCCAGAATATATTAGTATCCAGAATACTTCTAAAATAAATAAGACTAAAACAAAAACTCAATGTTAAAATAGGCCATAGACATAAACAGGATTTCACTAAATAGGAAACACAAAAGGTCCACAAACATGTGAAATCAAATGCAAATTAAGGCTGTAATGAGATAGTATTTTACATCTCCTAGATGGGCAAATAGGGTAATACCAAGTGGTATAAACATGTGAAGAATGCAGAAACTCTTGCACATTGCTGATGTGTGTGTAAATTGGCACAATTACTTCCAAACAATATTGTACTATCTTGTGCTATATCCCTGACATGCCAATTCCAGTCTTGTACGTACATACTAGAAGACATGTTTGAGGCTGTTCTTGTCCACATTCCTTATATGAAAAACTGCAAACCCAAAAGACACATCCACAAGAAAATGAATAAATAAACGGTGGTATAGTCACAAAATGAAATATTATACAACAGTGAAAATGAATAACATGGGTGAATCTTGGAAACAAAATATTGCATGTAGAAAAGCAAGACCCAGGAAAAAATTTCTAACTCAAAAACAAGCAAAGCCAAACAATATATTGTTTGGTAATACATACATAAGCAATAAAACCATTTTTTAAAGTAGAAGAATGATTAAAGTTCAGAGGAGGGCTTACTTCTAGAGTAAGGCAGAAGAATGAAATAGGGAAAATGCACATAGAGAGATAAAATAATTTGGTTGTGTTCCACTTCCTGAGTTAGGTAGTGAGTTCACAAGTGTTCATTTTATTTTTATATTCCATTACTTCTACATATATCATATATGTTATGTTTTATATGTGTATATATATATTCTTTTCAATATATCAAGAATTGTGTAATAAAATAATAATAATTAAGAAAATTTTGCTTGGCTGTACACAGCTCACAATCCTGTTTGGAAGCCTTCTTGTTGAAATGCGAAATGCTTTAATAGACAGAGAATCAAAACAGAGGGGTTGTGGAGCCCATGCTGGGGCCAAGGAAGGTTTCATGGAGGAAGCCTTGAAAGATGAGTAAAATTTGCCAAGTGGAGGTCCAAGAAAAGCATTCCAGGCAGGAGAAACCCAATGAGCAAGGGATTGAAGGAAGATGGAAGCCTGTTGGCATGTAAGGTGCTAGAAGGGTTGGGGATGGGGTGGGAGGAGGGAGTGGGGTTGGGGTGGGGGAAGACAACACTCTAAATAGTTTGCAATTGAGTGAATTGACAAGGTTTGGATTATTTTATGTCAAGTTACAATTGTCATACTTGTAATGAGACCTGTTATCATTGCTTATCTTTTTAGGGATAAACCATATGCCCTCCAAAGCTTCTGAAGGAAACAACTTCTCTTTCCCCTTCATATTGGTGATGTTGGGAGGGGGAGATGAGAAATTGAACACAACTAGCCCCTTCTCTCCACCAGTTTAGACAGCTCACCCCAGACCCAAGAGTCAAGTAATCACCTCTGGATATGAAGAGATATTCATGTTGGGTGGTCTACCAAGGATTAAATGCCAGGATCATTGAGAAAATTTCATCTCATTAAAGGCACAGAGGCCAGCTGATCCTCCTATCTGCAGAGCTGACAATACCTTAGGTGCACAATTAATTTCCCAAATAGTTTAAATAATCTAGAGGAGCAGAAACTGCACTGACATGAGGAATACAGATAACAATGAGTCTAATAATCCTGGACATTGCTCTGGGCAGCCTGGGTAGACACACGTGTAGCCATTTCCCAAGCTGGCTGATGTGACAGCTCAGCCTGAGCTGAGTGGACAGACAGAGTCCATGGCCCTCCAGGAGAAATTCAAGCCACTGGTGCCTTGGACAGAACCTTCATCTCTAAAGCAGCGCAACCAAGATATTCACGTTTCTGTGCTGTATGACAAAGATTTTGTACCAAATGAAAAATGTTACAATAATAATAATTTCTATCACCAAACAATACTTTGAGTGTATATAGCAACTTAACTATTTGAATCATACCCATTTTTAAAACTCTGTACCAGTACAAGCCTGTTAGCACATTCACTGACATATACTAGTAAGCATATGTCCTTTTCACCAAACCCAAGAATTCTATCTTTATCAAAAAATAGAAAGACTATAGGAGACAGAAAAATGTTCATTTTACATTTCCTTAGCAAATCTGAGATGCACAACATCTCAAATCTCAGATAACACCATGGTATTACGTGCATGTAGAAAGACTTTAGTTGCTACAATGGACTTGTCTGCAATTATGTCAAATATGCATAAAATTTTTGGCAGATGGGAATATCAGAAATAAAAGATGCTTTTTTTAGCTATGTTACACTTCTTCTTCTCTTCTTTTTTTTTTTTTTTTAAAAAAGGGGGGGTCTTGCTCTGTCACCCAGGCTGGAGTGCAGTGGTGCAATCTCAGTGCACTGCAACCTCCACCTCTCGGGATCAAGTGATTCTCCTGCCCCAGCCTCCTGAGTAGCTGGGATTACAGGCACCCACCACCACGCCTGGCTAATGTTTTGTTTTGTTTTGTTATGTTTTGTTTTGTTTTGTTTTGTTTTGAGATGGAGTCTCTCTCTGTTGCCCAGGCCGGAGTGCAGTGGCACAATCTCAGCTCATTGCAACATCCACCTCACAGGTTTAAGCAATTTTCCTACCTCAGCCTCCTGAGTAGCTGGGATTACAGGCACATGCCACCACACCCAGCTAATTTTTGTATTTTTAGTAGAGACAGGGTTTCACCATTTTGGCCAGGCTGGTCTCAGACTCCTGACCTCAGGTGATCCACCCACCTCAGCCTCCAAAAGTGCTGGGATTACAGGCATGAGCCACCATATCCAGCCAATTTTTGTATTTTTAGTAGAGACGGGGTTTCACCATGTTGTCCAGGCTGGTCTCGAACTCCTGACCTCAGATGATCTGCCTACCTCAGTCTCCCAAAGTGCTGGGATCAGGGTGTAAGCCACCTTGCCCAGGCTTGTGTTACACTTCTTATGAGTAACTTCTATATGCCATTAAAGTATGAATTAGAGAGTTTTAATAGTCTGCTTTTATTTTCTAGTAAGCACAGAAAACATAAGAGGTTGCTAGTAACAAGATAAAAATATCCATAGTGACTAGGCAGGTAAGTATCCCAATTAGGTGGGTATACTAATGTAATCTCTTCCATGCCAGGAAAGGAAGCTTCAGATGTTTCATGTCAAAGAATCATATATTAAGGAGATTGTAGAGACAATCACCACTAACTTTTAGTGGAAGAATAAAGACATCAAAAGAGGCAAACAGGCAAAACAAACAAATAAGAAGAGTTTTCTAAAAGTGAGGCTATTGCAGATGAAGGCACAGAAACAGTTTTTGTGGTCTCTTTTCTACTACTGGACTCAAGGTGCCCCATAACTTTGGAAACACCACCATCGATGAGGTTTTCACATTTTTTTTTATCTATAGTTTTTGACCCTGAATACAGAATTGGTCAAATGGAGTAGTATCTTTATGGCCCTAATACATTGCTTTGTATTACAGTCATTTGAATGGAGGTCTGTATTCTTTTCAACACTTCCACAGAACCTAGTCCAGTGTCTAACATTCAGTAGGTGCTCAGTAACTGTCTGCTGAATTTCAGTGAATAAACCCCTTGAAAGAGGAGTTATTCCACCACAGCATCAAAAAAAAAATTCACAATGAGTTTATAAAGATTATGTTTTCTACTCATAATATTTGAAAGTATCTACCAGAACTGGGATTTCTCTCCTTCCAATCTGCTTTGAAATTTCTTGGTATCCCATGGAAAAGAATATATTGCTAATGGAAATTCCAGTGGGGTCTCTTCCCTGTGAGCAGGCTCCTTGACTCTCTTCCAAATGCCACCATCAAAGATTCCATTCATGCCCCTCACATTAGGTCCCTTCATTACCCTCACTCAGTCATAAAATATTTATGGTGTAACTATTGTGGTGTTTAAGGCGCTGCACTACTCTCTGTGGGGGGAAGGGAAGGGGGAAGAAATGTAGCCCCAATCTACCCCCAGACCTATTGTGACCTATGAAATAGGTTTGCATTAAATACCCATGTTTATATTGTAATATCTTTGCCCATCTTAGGAACCAATCACAGTGTTAAGAAGCAGGGAAACAAAACAAAAAACAGAATGCCTTCTCTATCTGCCCTCAAATAGTTAAGGCTTTAACCTGTCTTCTGTTCCCATCATTCCATGAAAAGCCCTTCTCTGACTTTGCCAACAGCCTCCATCTTATCCAATCCCATGGCATTTATTTTATTCTTCATTATCCTGTTTGAACAGGCTCATCTCCTGTCAATACTCTTCCGCTGTTTCCCACTGACAGTGCTGGGTCTGATGCTTGCTGTGCTCATCTGAAAACACAGCAGAGGTCAGTTTGGGCTTTCATTTTAGCAATCGCTCCCTGAGGAGCAGAGGGAAAAGTCCAGCTACTCTGAACAACTGCTTCAGTTCTCTCTGAGGACAGAAGAGGACTCTCAGCACTAGACAGTTAGCTCTGGCTCCTCCACTCTCTTGAGGTCTGTGAGCCCTTTTCACATCAAATCCCACTAAATAGAGAATTTCTTATAATCCCCATATTTTCATCCCCAAACTCACTCTTTCATAAGTTTCTCGTAACTGCATCTCAGGGCTCTTTCTTCGTACTGATAGCAGATAACTTTGGAAACATATTTAAGTTATCCTTTGCCCTGTCTTTCCTACCGTCTACTTCCAAATCTTTTTCAGAGTTCCTGAAGTATCATTTTGATCTTGTTGCCCTTACTCCCAAATCTTATGAGGACTCTCAGTTCTCACATCAAGGAAGATACCTGAAAGCCTTTACCAGATGTGTCACAACATAGCCCATCCTTCTCGTCACAGATTTCTAGACACTCCCCATCAAATTTTCATGAGCAACACTGATATGGTTTGGCTGTGTCCCCACCCAAATCTCCACTTGAATTCTATCTCCCAGAATTCCCACGCATTGTCCGAGAAACCCATGGGGAGGTAATTGAATCATGGGGGCTGGTCCTTCCCGTGTTATTCTCGTGATAGTGAATAAGTCTCATGAGATCTGATGGGTTTATCAGGGGTTTCCGTTTTTGCCTCTTCCTCATTTTCTCTTGCTGCCACCATGTAAGAAGTGCCTTTCACCCCCCGCCATGATTCTGAGGTCTCCCCAGTCATGTGGAACTGTAAGCTCAATTAAACCTTTTTTTCTTCCCAGTCTCGGGTATGTCTTTATCAGCAGCATGAAAACAAGTAAATTGGTACCAGTAGAGTGGGGTGTTGCTGAAAAGATACCCGATGACTTTGGAACTGGGTAACAGGCAGAGATTGGAACAGTTTGGAGGGCTCAGAAGAAGACAGGACAATGTGGGAAAGCTTGGAACCTCTTAGAGACTTGTTGAATGGCTTTGATAAAAATGCTGATAGTGATATGAACAGTAAGATCCAGACTGAGGTGGTCTCAGATGGAGATGAGGAACTTGTTGGAAACTGGAGCAAAGGTGACTCTTACTATGTTTTAGCAAAGAGACTGGAGGCATTTTGCCCCTGCCCTAGAGATCTGTGGAACTTTGAACTTGAGAGAGATGATTTAGGGTATCTGGCAGAAGAAATTTCTAAGCAGAAAAGCATTCAAGAGGTGACTTGGGTACTGTTAAAAGCATTCCATTTTAAAAGGTAAACAGAGCATAAAAGTTCAGAAAATTTGCAGCCTGATGATGCAGTAGAAAAGAAAAACCCATTTTTTGAGGAGAAACTGAAGCCAACTGCAGAAATTTGCATAAGTAGGAAGACCATGGGGAAAATGTAACCAGGCCATGTCAGAGACCTTCATGGCAGCCCCTCCCATCACAGGCCTGGAGGCTCAGGAGGAAAAAGTGGTTTTGTGGGTGGGCCCAGGGTCCCCATGCTGTTTGTAGTCTAGGAATTTGGTGCCCTGTGTCCAAGCCACTCCAGCCATGGCTGAAAGGAACAAACATAGAGCTTGGGCTGTGGCTTCAGAGGGTGGAAGCCCCAAATCTTGGCAGCTTCCAAGTGGCATTGAGCCTGTGAGTACACAGAAGTTACGAATTGAGGTTTGGGAACCTCTGCCTAGATTTTAGAAGACGTATGGAAATGCCTGGATGCCCAGGCAAAAGTTTGCTGCAGGGACGGGGCCCTCATGGAGAACCTCTGCCAGGGCAGTGCAGTAGGGAAATGTGGGGTCACAGCCCCCACACAGAGTCCCTACCGGGACACTTTCTAGTGGAGCTGTGAGAAGGGGACCACCATCCTCCAGACCCCAGAATGGTAGATCCACCGACAGCTTGCCCTGTGCACCTGGAAAAGCTGCAGACAATCAGTGCCAGCCCATAAAAGCAGTCAAGAGAGAGGCTCTACCCTGCAAAGCCACAGGGGCAGAGCTGCCCAAGACCATGGGAACCCCCTCTTGCATCAGTGTAACCTGGATGTGAGACCTGGATTCAAAGGAGATCATTTTGGAGCTTTAAATTTGACTACCCCACTGGATTTTGGACTTGCATGGGCCCTGTAACCCCTTTGTTTTGGCCAGTTTCTCCCATTTGGAATGGCTGTATTTACCTAATACCTGTACCCCCATTGTAGCTAGGAAGCAACTAGGTTGTTTTTGATTTTACAGGCTCATAGGTGGAAGGGAGTTGCCTTGTTTCAGATGAGACTTTGGACTGTGGACTTTTGAGTTAATGCTGAAATTAGTTAAGACATTGGGGGACCATTGAGAAGGCATGATTGGTTTTGAAATGTGAGGACATGAGATTTGGAGGGGCCATGGGTGGAATGATATGGTTTGGCTGTGTCCCCACCCAACTCTCAACTTGAATTGTATCTCTTAGAATTCCCACGTGTTGTGGGAGGGAACCAGGGGGAGGTAATTGAATCATGGGGGCCAGTCTTTCCCTTGCTACTCTCATGATAGTGACTATGTCTCACGAGATCTGATGGGTTTATCAGGAGTTTCCGCTTTTGCTTCTTCCTCATTTTCTCTTGCCACTTGCCCTGCCATGATTCTGAGGCTTCCCCAGCCATGTGGAACTGTAAGTCCAATTAAACCTTTTTTTCTTCCTAGTCTCAGATATGTCTTTATCAGCAGCATAAAACCGAACTAATACAGACACTCTCCACGCTACACAAATAAGCCTGGTCTTCCACAGAGCCACCTTGCCCTGAGTTTACATCATAGAACTTGCTAAGCTACCCTCCCTTTCCTGATAATTAAGTGGGTAGTAGTTATGTGTGTTGTGCGTTATCTTTATCTACCTTTATTATCTTAAATCCCACACCTGCACCCACTGTGAGGTCACTATTACTGTTTTTTCAGTTAAGGAAATAAAGACTGAGAGAGCTTCTCATGATCATATACCTGGTGTCAGAACCAAGATTTGAACCCAAGTCTGCCTGATTCAAAAGCCCATGCTCCTAATGACTATGCAGTGCTACTGCCCTCATCCCTATCAGGATGGCTTGTTCAGGGGGTGCACCAAGCTTTAGGCACTCCCTGCACATGCCATTGTGGTTCACTAAGTGGAAAATTAATTAACAGTTACTGAATTTTCAGTTATTTTTTTCAGTATAATTTTGTCAACAAATAAATACTTACAGGTCTAAGAATTTTTTATGTTATGAAAAGGGATCCTCATTGTAAAATATTGAAATCCAACTCCTTCATTTTATCTACAATCTAGAAGATTCTACATTAGTTCAAGTCGTCCTCATCCTTGAGATGTAAAAGAAATTGCTCTGAACCACCCAATTTCTTGACCCCTTGTGAAGATGTCTACAATTCCCAAGGGTGGAAGAATTAAGTCTTATTGGTGCCCTCTGCCACCCATGCCCTAGAGTTCTCCTGCTCCACCTCCATCTTCTCCTATAAAAATGCACCTTCTCATTCAGTAGCTAGAAGGTGGCCAGGCAAAGCAGGCATTTTGTAAATTTTAGTTGACTGGGGGAGGGAACAGATGAATAATGCAGGATGTGAGGCTTTGTAGGTTAAGATCACAAGAAGAGGTGGATGGTTATCTACTATCTCCCCCCACCAAGAACTTTTCTGACTCTGAGTTTGAGATGTCCAAAGAAAGGCAGAATCATACCTTTCTCATTGATTCTTATGTTTACAAAGTACCTTTATAAAGCGTCTACTGTGTTCCAGGTACCATGTTAATTTCTAGAAGTAAAAATGTCAACTCTGTCACTGTCTTCAAGGAATCCATAGTGGGAAGCAGAGCACACAAACAGATGTTTACAGCACAACATGATGAGTGGTTTATTACACACAAAGTATTCAGGAAACAACTAAGAGGAAGAAAAACCATCTCCACCTGGAAAGACTGGAAAGGCTACACACCAGAGCTCAAATTTGAAATACATCTCGAACAAGGATTTGGCCATGCCAAGACAGTTGAGTGGAAGGAAGTACATTCTAGGCAAAGAAAAAGCACAAATGTGACCTACAAATGAAAGATTGGTGAGTAACTCTGCATAGCTGGAATATAGGCATAAAAGAGAAGGCAAGAAATGAAGCTGAAATGGTAAGTCAGAAGTGTATTATTTAAACCCTTGTTTGTGGTGCTAAATGGCTGGGCAACTAGGAGTCATGGTGTGATCAGATCTGTAGTTTGGAAATTCAACTGGAAACTGCTATGGATGAGAGCTAGGAGAGGGGAGAAATTAGAAGCTATTATAGTGATGATGGCAACCAATGGTGAGGTGATCTTTAGGTCATCACTGGAACCTGACCTATAGTAGACATTCAAAAAATATTTTCATGTAATTGAATTTGTCTCATGAGCTCCTTGATCTAATATACTGAGCAACTAGCCTTGCTACCATATCTTGTAAAATGCCACTCGTGTTATACGTTGTGGGAATGCTTAGGTGCCTGACCAGGATTTTAAGAAGATATAGAACTAACTTAGTATTTATTTATAGGTCGCCCATCACATGCTAAGCATCTTCTATACATTATCTCATTTGTGCCACACAACAATCCTTCAAGACAGTGTTTTCACCATTTTACACAGGAGTAAAATGATGTTCAGAGTAACTAATAAACAAATTTATCCAACTAGGGGTAAAGCCAGATTTTTAATTCAGTGTACATCTAACTTCAAAGGCACCTGTAAATTTGGGATATTATGGCAAGAGAGGTACTGGTAAAGCCACATTATCTTTAATCAAATATTTTAGAATAGCATCCACAGGAGTGTGCATGTGAGACCCCTGGCCTGGGAAGAGGAGTTTGCATCCTGATTTCCTTTTTCACTGCATATGGCAGCAAACCATAATGAGTCAGACATTGTCATAACACATTGCATAATTCCAATGAAGCATTCACATCTCAACTACTCTTGATTATTTCCAATTCCGTAATAAATGAAAGAGATCAACTGTTCGGTGGTTTGAGGAGGGTGGAAAATCATTTAATTCTTAAGTACCATTAAATATTTAATACTATTATAAGGAGGTAATGTCACTTTCCATAATACATTTGGCTTCAGGTACACTGGAATCCAGATTTTGACACCTCCATACCATGATAAATTTTTGACCCTGAAATTTTATTTGAAATCACGACTCCAAAATCTCCTGTAGCCAATCTACCAGGAGTAGTATCTGTCAACAGAGAGAACATCATATAAAGACCTTAACATTTTGAAAGCAAAGCCAAATGAAGCTCAATCACGAAAGGTCTTTTCTTTCTTTAAGGTGAGAGATGGAGCACAAATGAAGCATACCATGGTAAATAGGAACTGTGCTCACTTGCAGTCATGCACTATAGCCATTAAGCCTTAAGGTCTTAAGGTACTAAGCAATGCATATGATAAATTTCTCAAAAACATCCCAGCCATAACATAGTTCTTGCTGATTGCTCATTTACCCATAATGCATGCTGTCATAGCAAAGCCTGACAAATGACAGAGAAAGCTCAGGTTATTTTTTACACTGACTGCCAAGCCCCTCACCTCAGATTATTCATTTATTAGGGCAATCACTGAGGTCTGGGTACTTAATATTGTTTTCACCAAATATGAAAATGATCTACTTGCCTATTCTTTAGTTCCTCCTAGGGCAAGCCATTTATCATCAGCTCAGGATAAATGACTGCTTCATTATAGCTATAATTTATGAGGTGTTAGAAGTAAAGAGCCACGCCTAGAGACTTAAAGCTTTAATATGGATTAAAATAAGATAATCAATCAAGCTAATACAAATTTTCCCTCAGCATTATTTCTTGTTTTGAAATAGCTTAATAATTTGGTGAGGTGGCGGTAAGCTATGTTGAATATCCCATTATCCAACTACATGCATGTATGTCTGAGACAATACGTAAAGAAATATAGGATGTGATACCATCGGAAAAAAAGAAATACAATGAAACCATCAGCTGTAATTGGCTGAAATCCTCACTTTCCTTAATGGTGTCAAACTGGAGACCAAAGAATTACAAAGCAGGTGTAAACTTGGGTAGCATATTCCCTCTAATTCTTTTTCCTCTGTAAGAATATTGTAGAAAGATTGCTGCTGTTTTACTTTTCCTTATTCTCTCTACAACAAAGAAACACTGGGGAGAAAAGTTATGTCCCAATAACATGTCAACAATTTTGCTTTCTTTTATGTCTGAAGGTTTCACAACTCATAATTTGGACAAGAGCAGCTTCTTACTCTGTCTAGGGAATAAAGAATATTTCCCTCTAAAATGGCATTACGGACTTTAAAGAAATTTTTTCTGGTTTGCATCTCAATTTTATAGTTATTAGGCTATGCCAGAACAAATATTATTTCTGAAATATGTGTCATGCTCAAGACACTAACGTAAACCTATTTGGCCACTTGAGTGAAAAGCTTTGAAGACTGTACGGGAAATTCACGATTTAGTACTTTAAACACACAGCACCAGGAAGAAAATCACCACAAGAATTAACAAATCAGCAGTCTAAAGCCAAAGACTCCAAGGTGCTAATTAAAAAAGCTTCCAAAAGTTCTTGTTATTTTTTTTAAGGCCATGTTCCTTGCAGGTGAGACAAATAGGCCCCTGCTGCCTCCAAGCAAATCTTGAAGGAAACTTCCAGCAAGGCCTGGTGACTGGAAACTACTCAGCCTTGAAATTAACATCCCTAAGAAAAACCTTTTCCACTCCCTCTAGACAACAGCAGCTTACATCTTCAGGACAAAACGAAAAAAAAAAAATGATGACAAAAAAGAGGCCAGAGAAGACAGTTGGAGTAGTCACGCTGTGTTCTCTTGAAGGGAGCCTTCATTCTTTACCTCAGAGAGAGAGCGTGAAAACACACAGATCCTGACAATGGATTTAGTCAACGTGGCCAATCTCCCTACTTCCTTACACGTACATACCACTGAGTTTACCTTAAAAAAGTAAAAGCAGAAATTTTCACAAAAGCTGTGCATCAGGAGCTGTTATTACAAATGAGGCCAAGGCTCTGCATAAGAAGAAAAGGATCTTTCACAAGTTCATAATGGGAACCGAATGCAAAAGCCATATAATTATAATCCAGAATATGGCATCCTATGATATAAAATATTTCCACTTAGCTTAACTGTTTTCCATTCAATATTATTTCCAGCAATAAAAGCCTCTGGAATATCACTCAAACTGGTTCAAGTTAAATTCCAATCTAGATCTTTGTTAGCTAAAGGACATTTTTTTAATCCAGTCATCTTTCTCCACCCTACACATAATTCAACAACAGCCCTTCAACAGGGATAAAACAATTTAAGCTCTGAAGTTGTTCTATGCATGTGTGTGTGAGATTTTCATGCCCTATGTATTTGGACTGAAAATACTTCTCTCTGTCTCTCTCTCATTTAGACTTTATTTAAGATGGTGAAAAAAAAAAAAGCAAAATGTGATATTCACAAGTGCGCAGCATCTTATTTCCCATTTAAAAAGTATTCTGTAAAGAAAAGTCTTATACATAAAAAGAACTCTACTTGTAAAAATGAATAGGAATATGTACTATGAAAATATTAACCATCTTAGCTGTGAAGAGGTTCCAGTGGTTATAAAGAGAAGGGAAAGTAGATAGAAAGCTCTGGCTTGGCTGTTGGGTTTTTGGTTTGCTTGTTACATGTTTACCTGTTTGTTTAACACTACATATATCTCCAGGTACTCCACCATCCATGTCATCAACTGTGGAAAAATGTCCCATTCTTTCTTATGCCTATTTCTTAGAAGTTCCAGATAGTGAGGGAAAATATTCTAGGTCTCAATGAGCAATGTTATAAATTATATTTTGTATGCTACACTTTAGAGAGATGTCTTTAGTGTATTATACCATTGATGATTCTTGTGATTTTTATTTCTATGTAAAATACAGTTTACACAAAATTTCTATCGCTTAGTGAGACATTCATAATTACATATGAATAAGAATTACAGAAGACATTAAAATGTTTTCATAATAGATGTGGAAAAAAGCTATCCTGCGAGCATGTTTAAAATAGACATGGTTTGCCTTAAACTGAGGCATAAAGCCCCACTGCTAACTGATAATTTAAAGCACAAAGATGGGGAACTGTTTTTCTCCTTACTTCTGCTTGTCTGTTTATCTGATGAAATGTTCAAATAATTCCTCTTCTCAAAATACTAGTCTCTAGTAATGCTTTTTTATATATGTGATCCCTCAAGGTAGTCCTTCCCAAATAATAGCCATCGATTTTTAAAAAAACTTTGAATGGATCAAATCTTCCAATAGACATCAATCAATATTCTCAGATGCTTTGGTAAGCCGGGTCATCACTACTCACGGCCGATGCCCAACTACAGCTTGGTAGACTGGCAGAGCAAAGCTGATTTCTTTGAAAGGCCAAGTGATAGAGGTCAAGCTTGAGACTGCTTAGGAAACACACGCCTTTCCCTTATTTGTAGGACAAAAATGATTGTTAAAAATTTTTAAATTAAATAAGTTAACATTTTAAAAATTAAATAAGTTAACATATGGGAAATCCATTGGTAAACTGAAATGCACTACATAAATCTATGATGGATCAATGTTGATATTATTATTTCTGTTAATTATATTATGCATCTTCCTTCATGAGTCAGTCAGAATTTAGAAGATATTTACATTGTATTGGAATTTGTTGATTCAGTTCTAGGAATACAAACTCAGCATCTACCACGTAAAGGAACACAGTACTAGACACAAAGGGGATGTGTATCATGGATGTCAAGTCCCTGCTTTCTAGTAGCTCACAGTTTCAAACAACTAAAATGCAGTTCTGCGCCGGCTTCAGAGGGGCCAGGTTTCCCACAAGGCCTGGAATTGACCAATAGCTGAGCACACATACTTGCCATATATTTCTTGAATGAGTGAGTGAATGAATGAATACCTAATTTGGCTAACCCTGGGTATCATCCTTATTTTCATCATCTACTAAAAATTAGAGTTGAATATTTCTATTTTTCTGTAAGGTTTGAAAATAACAAAAAATTATTTTCAATAAGCTAGGCATGAGAAAAAGCAATGGCAGCTACATATTTTTCCATAGCTTTCATTCCCTAATCACTTCTTGCATAGTTATACACAGAACTTTAACTGCTGGCTTTTTAAGGGAAATTTCTCAAATGCAAACAAATATATTTCACCAAATAAAATCCTTACATGAATGGAATGGGAAATAGTAACTTAGATGTAAACTGCTAAGTTACCAATTAGCTTCTTAAAACAATTGAAAGTCACAGAGAGCCCTCAATATACAGAGGTGGTTAATTAATTAACATTAGATGTGATTAATAATGAGTCTCATTTAATAGCAAATATCTGCCTGCAATGGCTGCATGACAGAACAAAAAGCCTTCAGAGAGCAAGCAACTATATTTATCCTGATTGTGTTTGGGATTTTAACATGTTTTGTGCAGGCTGACAAATGGCCTATTAATTATCTAATGTTGTCTGACAACAACAGCTTGATAAAGATGTATGTTTTTGAATCGCTGGATGGAAACTGCTGGAGAAGAGCCCCAGAGGGGCCTTGCTGTCCTAAAACTGGGCTCCTAGCCACAATGACAGTCAAGACAAAGCCCTATCTCCCGCCACAGCCTTCGCAGATAAAATATGGCTTGGCATTAGGGACATTTTTTTCTTTCAGAAAACTGCTTCTGCAATATCTGATTAGGAAAAGGAGGAGTACTTCTTTACTAAATTGGGGTTAAGGCATAATCAATATCATATATGGAGTGTCTGGCCTATTCTGCATAAACACGGGCACTTCATATTATTAAGGAGTCTATAATGCCGAGGAAGCATATGGCAGGACACTGCAGCTGTCTCTATTCTTTTTATTTAGAAGTTTATCTTCCAACCTGTTTGACAGCTGCTCCTAAGTGGTTTCACAGTGCCAAACTATTTTTATGATTGTTTGATGTTTTATTCTCCCATTTCAGTTAATGAGATAGGATCCCACAATGGCCATAATTCAGGGCTGTCAGAACTAAAAAGCATGCTTGTGGCAAGAGAGCCTGATGGTAAATAAGGCTAAAAGCAATGGATAATAAAAAAAAAACTCTGTTATCAGAGTCGCCTTTGCAATCAAAACTTGTTGGGGTCAGAGCCTTCCTTTCTTTGTGTGGCTTCTGGATATTCCCAGCCCTGTGCAAGGTCCCTGTCCACCCTCCTCCATCACCCATTTCGATTCTACAAACAAGTCCTCATTTCTTTGGAAAGGCTCATGAGGAATAATATTAACTAAGAAATGTTAGAAGGTCTTAAAGATATCGAGTGCTATATTCTAATTAAAGGGCTTGTGCATCATTTACAGTGCCAAGCGAGTAATTTGTCATACACTGTTACAGAGAAATTGTTCAACAAATAACCTTTACAAGAGTCTTGAGAACAGCTTCATAATTGAAATCCCTAATGGTTTTGCTGGGAACTTTTATTAAGGTTTGGAGGATTTTTTTCTTTTCCTCTCCCTGAAGAGTTTTTAGAAACTTATGATGGTAATGTAGCAACTTTCTTTCAGGAAAAAAAAAAAAAAAAAAAGCCCTTTCTTAGTTATATTTACAAATGCCGTAAGTATTCACAAGGCCATTTCTGCTAAGAATCAAAAGTACAGTGTTTTCCAGAAGAAAATGTGAGGTTTGCTTTGTGTCTTTTATTTTGTTTTTATTATTCCTAATGGAGAAAGTTTTAAGACAGATGAAGATACCTACCTTTAGAATTATTTTTATCTTACACTAAAGTTCATGATCTTTATTTTGGTGTAACACTATCCTTGAAAATGTAATTTAAAAAAATTCAAAGTCACTACTAGATTGAGTCTGTCACATAAATTATTATTCAAAAGTTTAAAAACTGAAAAGTGACCACTTTCTCAAACAATATTTCTCTTCTTATTACACATTTAAAATAATGGTCCTTCACAGGCAGAAAATAGCATGGCAAAAAACTCAAATAATAATAAGTCCCATAACTAATTATAAAGCCTGACACGCCTCATACAGAAACACTCCCTGATGACTACCAAAGATTGGCTGCTTTATAAATATTTAATGCTTGCCAGTAACCCCAATTTTTATCTCACATCTAAGACTAAACCATTTGTCTCCTCTTACAATCAGCCATGTCTATGTAGTGTCATCATGTCTGAGCAAGTTTGACTTACTACGTGTTTTCCAGGATATAAAATTCAGGACATGACACATCATCATGTGAATGAAACAATTACACAATCTAAGAAGGATGGGGAAAAAAAGAATTCAAATAGGCTAAGTGTCATTATAAGGTTAGCTCCAGAGAACTCAAGTCAGAAAAACTGAACATCAGAAAATGATAGATAGGTATGGATCTGTTGTGAACTACTGAAGATGCAGCTCTTATAATACTCTTCTGTGACCCTCAATTCTTTTCTGCAACCAAATAAAGTTATATGAAGAAAGTGCACACCCTAATTTAGGGATATTTATATCCATATAAAATAAAGTGTATCTCCGCGTTTATACTGCGCCACCTTTGGGGAAAAGTGTAGTAGTCTCTAATCAGGGCTGGTGATGGCACCTGAATCAAGAGAAAAACTTTGACAGTTGAACAAGTGGTTCCTATTAAAGGGATCATAGAAGTTAAAAGGTAAAGATTACTACTCTCTGATTGATGGGTTATCACCTCCTTTGGATTATCCTATAAACCCCATTATTTCTATGAGAATGACTCTCATAATTCCGGAATATTTTACAGGTGAGTACAGCCACCTCAAAAACTGGAAACATGTTTCACAACTTCCAGAACAGTAAACATGTGAACAAACCCAACTACAAGCCATGCATGGAGCAAATACCTTTGAGAGAGCTCATATAACCTGCCAGTGCTCAATGCACAGCCCCTTCCACCAGTCTTATATATGAAACTCAGGATCCTATGTCCAGAGCTCTGAGACACCAGCCACTTCCAAACCACCATTGGAATTGGTTTGGTTTGTCCATCATGAATGTTGCTCTTATTGGTTTGACGTGGCTGCTGTTTGTGAATGTAGTTCTTATGTGTTTGCTGGTAGAAAGCTTTTGAGCCTAGTCCAAGCCAGAGGCTGCGAACTAGGCAGTCTTTGGCCTGCAAAAGTTATCATTTCATTATCAGTGTTTCTTTTCCTTTTAAAAAAATTATTTTACTTGTCAACACTTAAAAGTGAGAGGATTTTTACATTAATTTAAAAAATCAGATTTCCACCTTCTTGGAAATTTATATGGTCTGGCAACATGGGATCCACATTCTGGGAAGAAAAAAAAATTCTAGAGCCCTAAAGACATGATATCCATTCTTGGGTTCCCTGTGACCCACCACTACATGAGTCTTTTCCTTCATTCACACCTGGGTCCTGCTCTTGCTTTTAAATAACACCCAAATTCTAGTCCACACCTGCTCCTTGCATTGTACAATATAGAGATGGGGGGATTTCAGTGAAAGTGATCATTGTCACGAAATTCATTTGCAGCAGAAGTGGGTTTAGATTCCAGACCCCCTAGTTGACAAATCAAGGCAATTAATCATTATATATTCACCAAGTCAGTAACAGTATATTTTCAAGGGGCTTGGAACCTAGTGGGAAATAAGGGATGCATTTGTAAACAACAATAATATGGTAAATGGCTGAAAAGTTACTCTTGCCATGAGAAAAGAAAATATAAAGTGCCATGGACTGTCAGCATCCATGTCAACTGGGAGCTGGTTGCAAATGCAGAATTCCAAACCCACCACGGACCTGCTGAATCAGAGTCTGCATTTTAACAAGCCCACTCCACGATTCAAATTCCCTGTCCTAGGGGAGGGACTTTGCACCATTCCAGAGGTGCTTTCCATCATCCCCTCCGTAAAGGTGGGACCACATAGCTGCATGGTTATCTGCGACCCCTGTACCCACCATAATACTACGCACTGAAAGTTTAACCAGTATTAGTAATAAACAAACTACTAAATTAGGATTCTTCCCTCCACCCATAGGAGGAAGAACACACACATGTTCTCGCCGGGTGTGCTTTTCTAATGTGAAAACCAAGGACTGAAACCAGAAGAACCACTGGAAGCAGGCAGGAGGCCCTGATGTGAGGCAGGTCAGTGGCAGGATGTATAAGAGGAAAGTACATCCAGGGAGCTGGGCTGGCTGCCGTCTCAGCAGCCAGACCCAGGGCCAGTTGTTACTCATTGCCATCCAATCCCTCCAACCTCATCGTTCTCCAGCTCTGTTCACAGCTCTACCACTGTTCTCCACAGCTAAAACCAGCTCCCCTGCTGGGGCCCTGCCATGTGTTTGACAGTCCCTTCCAAGCACCCCTTCCCCGAGCAGAAGGGCCAGAATCTTCACTAATTAATATAGCCCATGGATGGGGCAGCGCTTAGGAGAGGCTACTCATTGTTGAGATACCCTAGATGATTTTTTTCTTTTAATTTAGGAACTCACAGGGCTTAATTTTGAGCTACAATTGTTTGGTCGGGCTCTCTGTTCAGAAACTCGGCCAAAGGATTAAGCATTAGCTCCAGGAGTGCAGATAAAATGATTAAGTAAATTAGTATAGTACTTAAAGGGAGAAGAGACATCCTTTAGAATATATAGGGGAAGAGAGGACAGTCACCTAAAAATTATTCACTCTTCTTATCTGATCATATCAGGCCAACTTTTATGTGTGCTAAGAAACAGAACATACATAAAAGACAAATAGAAGAAAAAAATGAACCACAATCTTCTTTTAGGCTCCATAACTGTATTTTGAGGATAAAATTGAGACTATCATCTTAAATGGAATCTCTGATATTCATGTTTGAATAATAGATATTCCCAATTATTACTAAAAATGTCACCTCTGAAATATGAGGGCCACATACCTGTAATGCCATCAGTCTTCCAGGCCCTCACTGAGGATTTGGGTTTCTTTTTTTGTTTTGTTTTCCCTTATCTTTTCTTCCCCTTGGAATAGGAGCAAATGTGTCTGTATTGTTCAAAAGCATACACGAAAATGTGATGTAACCTAAGCTAGGTTTTCAGGTGTTCCTTTTTCTAAGCACGAGGAAAGAAAATAGATGACACCACAGGTTTAATACTAATTGATTTATTACCTGCCTAAGCAAATCCCAAGCTGCGCAATGGCAGGCTTGGACTTAAAGCAAATGATTTACAAGATAATGTTTGACTCTGGGAAAGGGTAATCAGATCCAGATACAATGGATGATAGGATAATTGAGAAGAAATAAAAGAGGATAAATTGCCATGTGCTAATGAGTTTACAGGCCTTAATGGGAAGGACATCAGTTTTAACACTCAGGTTATGAGCTAGGAGCAAGTCTTTTTCTTTTCCACCCCCGCCTTCAACTGCTAAAGATGTAGTGCTGAAACAAACCAAGATTAATGGTATCCCACTCATTTACTTAACCATTCTTTACACCTCAGAAAGCTTCCTGCATTAAGCATATATAGCTGTGGTGTCCTGTATTAAACACAGAGAGCTGTGGTGCTTATTTTTTAAAACCAACTTTATTCCAAGCAGTTCCTGTCAGCAGATGCCACTTATCCAACAGCGCCGAGATATAAATGTTTTTGGCTGGGCCACTTGAGCAACAACTCTTCTGCTCCCGAGTCCCTGGGGGCCTTGGAGCCTGATGAGTTGATGCCGTTATCTGCAAGCCTTTTGGCCTAACGGAGAATATTCCGAACCATTTATGCAACCTGGGTGCACTCACATTTAGAAATGGTTGCCTGAGCAGCAATCATGTCTTGCCTCATGATTCATTTTTATATCTCACTCACCCGCCATCCCACATCACCAGCGAGGACTGGTGACACTTTATTGGTATTTTTTGATTACTGCTATAGCCATCTAAATTTTTCACAGGATGGGGGCCTCTGGTCCAAATGTAGCCGCACACTGGACTAAGGGTAGAGGCTACAAAGAAATAAAGGGGCAGAGGCCAGCAGGGCGATTAGGAAGTAATGTAGAGCAGAGGCACTTCCTAGGAAACAGAGAACCTATTCCCTTGTAATGTTTCTACCAAATGAAGTTTAATATGATGAATCATGGTGCAGCTCCAGCATGTTCACACCTTGCAAAAAAGCAGCTCAAGCGCAGCATTTAAACATGTCTGAATGATGACTCGATTCCCTTACACAAAAGCCGAAGGAGTACATATCCAAAATGGCTATTTCTACCTGTATTGGGAAGGTTGTTTTAGAGCGTTTCCCATTTTCACATGTGCTTGGGAAATCCAAGTGCTCATTTCATGCTTACTGATGTAATCCTGATCAAATAGTACTCTTATTCACAAAAGCTGATCTGATGTTATAGTTGGATCCTAAACCGTAAACCTCAAACATAATTATTTTCTTGACCTGGTGTTTTGTGCAGTGAGGTTCTAGGGATTGATTTGAAATTTACAACCTGACTATTTCTGAGTCAAGCAGTTACTATGAAACTATAAGCAATATTATTTACCCACTCCATACATGAGATTTTTAGGAACATCTGGGTTGTTTCAAGTTTCTGACAATAGTAAAACTTCACTGGTTCATGTTAATTTGGAGAAATCACTAAAACAATATTAAGTTTGTCACACTTTCTTTACACTTTACCAAGTGTTTTTACCTGAAAAGTTGACCAGATAATATAGGAAGTTTGCTTTTAGTTTTCAATTATTACTGAAAATATCTGCAGTAATGCAGGACAATTTGCTCAGCCTAAGCTGTAGCTAAGATTCATTTTAATTTAAATGATAACTGTTTATATAGAAGTAGATGCTTCCAACAAAATCATCAGGCTTGTATTCCCCCTTCCCCCTCAACCTGTCCCCTGCTCCAAATCCTACATTTGCTTATCTTTCAACTTGATTTACTAATACTTTACATAGCAAACCTGTTTCAGGTGTATAAGGGTCACCTGCAGTTCAAGCCAGGCCCATTTTGGTTGGATTCTTATAGTTTCTGAATTAGGCCTGTGATGCTCTACCCTATACTACTTGTGCAAAAGCATCTGGTGCTAGGCAGTGGAGAAGCACCCGAGACTGGCGTTAGTATACACCCCGAAAGACTAAAGTTAATCTTCTTAACTCTTTAGGCTGCTGTAATCCTTTTCCAAAATGTTTAAGAATAGGTTTTCCCTGTGGTAAAGAAGTAAGAGCCCAATTTCTCAGGCAGATAAACTGAGTCTTGAGAGTTGTTTTGTGGCTTCTGAAGGTCACAAAAGGAGCAGAAAAGCTGGGAACCAGGCCTGGGATCTCAGACTCCCACGTCCTCACTGGGAACACTAGACAATACTGACACCCTCCATGAACTGAATCCAAAAATTGTAAAAGATAAGTTGTTTCCTTATATTGTTCAAAGAGGAAAAAAAAGAATAGCTTTCCCACAGAGAGCAAACAAATAGTGAATGGGCCCTCTCTTCATCCTATAGAACTCTATGTGAGAATATTTTTTTTTCTTATGTGAATTCTTAAAAAGTCAGTTTGGATTGCTGCCTAACTTACAGAACATTTCAGAACAGACCTATTTTTTGTCTAAACAATAGAAGTATTGGGTCATAGAATTTAGAGTTGGAAAAGACCTTAGAGATCATAGAATTCAGCACCCTCATTTTACAAACTGAGAATCAGAAAGATTAGATGGCATGGACATGTTTACAAGTCATTTATAACAGAGGCAATTAAATACATTTCAAGGAAAATAAATCTATTTGTATGAATGTTCTAATTATTCTAGGAAAAAAGTACAAGAATACGTTATCTGAAACACATTTATTATTTTACATGGCAAGACTTGGCTTCTTCCCTTCAGAACAAATCTCGCTGAGAGTGGATTCAGTCTCCTTGCAAGAAATTGGACAAGTACCAACAAGGCCCCCATTAGCCCTGTCCATTACAGGTTCCATAGACTCAGGTTTTGTCAAGAGTGCAAAGAGGAAATGGCAGTGTGATAGCAAAGCATGGTGCCACACAAGGATTAAATAAGAAAAGGGCCAAAAACATCCACAAAGGGGAACCAATTAATTTACGGGAGAGTCCAAGATATATGGGAGATCATGTTCCAGATTCAGGTATCAGTTGGCCAGGGCCTTTTTGGAAAATAATCCTTATCTTTTATTTGGTGCCCTCCTTGCCTTCCTGTTCCTTCTCAGCCAGTAAATCTGCAGCCTTAAACACCAGCTCCTAGAGAAAACCAATGTTTTCTTTTTTTTTCTAAAACAGACAAGCAGTTGTATCAAGGATCTTCTCCCAAGAACAGGGTGTATTGATATTGGACACAACAGTTCAGTTCTGCTAGAGTTGAATCTTCCACTTGCGCCACCCCTACTCTCTTATTTTCGTACTTCATCTATTTTCTAAATTAGTTGAAAGATTAGCTGTAAAATGATCAGCTTCTAAATGATTGAAGCTGTGGTCTTATCTGACTCATCATCTGGGACAGAAACCATGGTGCAGATGGATGTTCAAACAGAAAGACATTTTTACATAAAAAAGTTGTCAACAAACACCAGGCTAGTGTTATTGCCCAGAGGAAGCTGACATCATGGCAAAGTTTTGAAGAACTCTAGAATTTTAGGACTGCAAAGACATCTGTGCCTCCGCTTATACAGAATCTTTATTTTTCAAATATGAAAAATTTAAGTTTTCAGAGATTTGGTGAAGGTCATTTAGCCAATAAATAGCAATGAAAGACCCAGGCTTCTTGGTTCCCACTGTACCACATTTCCAGCAGTTCTGAACCAGCTCACACAGGTCTAAAAAAACAACAATAGAACAACACAAACTATTGCTCTCCATTTTTGAAAAAATAAATTTTTGGAAGTGGTAAGTTATAGACGCATATAAGTTAATCACAGCTGCCTGTGTGTGCAAAAGTAGCAGTAGCAAAACACCTAGCTGATAAAGTAGTTCTTTAACCTTTATAGAAAGCATGATTTAAGGCATCTTATGGGAAATCAAAGGCTTCAGCCAATTCCAAGGATCTTACAGACCAATGGGAGCAGTAGGAACCCTGGTGAGATGGTTTCATGCCATGCTTTTTAAGTTTACATTTAGTCACCAAAAAATAATAGGCTGATATTTTTGAAGAAGAGCTACCTTCTTTCTTCATCTTTGTTATATAACTTTGTTATCCCTTTCCAAATTCACTATCCAAATATTCGCTAGTGTATTTCCAAATACACTAGCGTGTAACTGGGCTCTCAATCGCCAAACCCTGGTGGCATTCCAAAGTGTAAATTTTAGACACCTCTGAGCAGATTTTCCATGAACCTAGAGATCCAGTGAGAGACAAATTCTACCAACAACTCAATCCTCTAGCCAGTGAAGGTAGCCCCAGCAGACAGCAGGGAAAGCCTATACTCTCAATCAAAGGTAACAGCTCAACATGCCAGAGTTCAAGCATTATATAGATGTAATATTATTCTTACACCAAAAGACTAAGCTGTTGATGAGAAAATTGCACACATGCTGAATGATGGGCTTAATGTCAGACAGCCAGATGTTTTTACTTAGGGCTCTTTCCCATCTTTGCCAGCAGGCAGGAGAGAAAAAAGAAGACAACAATGTTCTAGATTAGGAGCTCTCTGAGAGCAAGGAGTGAGAAGTTTTGCTTTTACAACATTAATCTTTAGTGTATACTACATTCCTGGCAAAAATTAGATGTCCCATATGTGTTTCTTGAATTCATATGTTAGCACTCAAATCAGTTAATTTTCTATTTAGCTTAATGGAAAAAAATGAAGACTTGAAATTTTTATGCTGTTAAATTTACTTATCTGTATCACACTGGAAAACATCCTTACGAAAAACTGGAAACAGTCTTGGATAGGGGCTTGGGGTTTTTTCTTTCAAACTCAACAAGTAACTCTGTTGCCATTAATGAATACTGTAAAGGTAGTCTTTATTTGTAAATGTATATGCCAAAGGCAAATATAGTCTATATTCTAGGATTTACAGAATAATTATTTTGAAAATTTCTTAAAAACAAAATTTTCTTGTGTCTAAATTATTTGTTCATGAAACTTTGTAAAACATGCAAATTTTAAAGAACAACCTCATGTAAGAAACATAAAGGCTAATTTTTATTTACCAAATAAGAAGCTGTTTTTCAAAGCCCAGTTCAATAGGACAAAAAGTTTTCCTGTTGGCAAGCATAAAAACTCATTTTCAGCATTTAAGCTAATGAAGCACTTGGACAAATGCTCAGTTCAAGATATTTCATGGACAGTGTGGGCACACATTTATATGTCTGTGAGCATACAAAATAACACACACATGTAATTTTACA